>NC_000002.12:4555454-4858484 GCF_000001405.40 Homo sapiens
TGCGTAGCCTTTTAATGCTTCTAAATATTCAGCTATTTCTAAATTTCCATACAAACTAATAAAATAGGGGGTTAACTCCAACATATCATTTCATAGCCGATTTTTCTCTTTAAATTTTATTTGGAATATTTTGCATGCCTATACATTTTTCTCAATAATCTATGTTTAAATGACTTTAAATTACATGGAGGAACCATGTTTATTTTGTTTTGTTTTATTTTGTCAAATTTCTATTTTGTGAGCATTATTTTCACTTTATTTTTACTATCATATTAAGAATGCGAAGAATACTCTATTGTGTATATTTTTGTCTACATTTCTGCATATTTATATAGCATAAATTCATTAGAAAGCCAATCACAATGTCAAAATATATTACAGACTTGTGATACTTACTTCCTAATTACTTTTTTCAAGCACAGTTTTTGCTAGATTTTCAATTCATTATGAATATAAGTAACAGTTTACAGTGTGGTCAGAGAACCTTCCTCGCCTGGGATTTTTTTTGAAATGCAGAATCTCACATCCAGCCCGAGAATCAGAATCTGCCTTTTAGCAAGATCTCTGGAAGTTTTGCATAAATGGTACATTTTGGAAACGACTGCATTACACAGTCACCTCAACAGCATTAAAACATTACTTTTATTTTCATTGTTGCCAGAGGGGAACAATTAACAGTATGTAGATATGTTGGAAGTTTGATTCCAGACCTCTGGGAAGCAGGGCACTGTCACAGAGCTGAGCGTTGCCCATGGTGTGAATTGAGTCACCCGCCCTGAAATAGAAGTGTGTCAGGGCTAGGCTGGGGTAAATAACGCAGAGGTGTGTGTGGGGGTGGGGTGGCCACTCCTGCACCTTGTCTAATTCCAGCACAGCCTGTCTGTGTCATAGGGGGCTGAAGTCCAAGAACAACCATGACTCAGTGGCCAGAGACGGGAGAGGGAAGTGGAGGCAGATGAGCCTCTCTCCTGTTCTTTCCTTTTTAGATTTTGTCAATGAGCATGGGCGTTTCTGCCAATCCTATCACCATAGCCACGGAATCAAATTAGCAATCTCTACTTTAAGATATGCATTTGTTTACCCAGGAATCGGAGGCGCATATGCATGAATATGCCATCATATGTTTCTATGGAAGCATGACTATTTGCATGCCATAGCATCACATGCCAGACAACTTCCATTTTAGTTGCAAATGATAATTTTTTGATTCACCACTTTGAGAAATAACATGATATCATAGATGAGTCTTTCTCAAAGGGCTGAGGGATGACCTCAGAATCTCACTAACATGTAGATTCTGAGTCAGTGGTTCCACAGTGGGACTTGAGATTCTATATTTTTCACAAGACTCATGTTTAGCTGCTGCTGTTCTTCTGAGGATCACACCTTGAACAGCAAGGATAGGGATCATTAAGGCGCAGCAAATGTACCAAATCTAAATCTAACTTTTCTTTATTTAGCTATGTTCTAGAGAAAATATATGGAATTTTCATCTGTCTAAGTTTAAATGACGTTATTCTGCTGAATAAAATTCTGTATTTATTTTCTAATCTGTGAAATATCATATAATAGTAAAATATCCTTGTACTTTGGAGCTAGGTAGGCTTGAGTTTAATTCGTGGCTGTGCCTTTTCCACTTGTGAATTCAGACATGTTAAAATTTTCCCATTTTGATATATTAACTTATCTCACCTCAGTTTCCCTGCATCTGAGTGAGATGATAGTACCTGTTTCCAGGAATTATAAGAATCCAGTGTATGCAAAAATATAGCATGTAGCAGGTATTCGACTTTGTCATAAAGTTACATGAAAAAAATTATATTACTTTCAAATAAGCAATACAGTTCCTTATAGGAAGAGAATTGTGTTTGCCAAACTGCTCTGGAATAGAGAGGATCTGGAAGCTGGGGTAAGCAGTGACAAAGGAAAGGGGAGAAAACTGAAGAACAGGTGAATAAAGGCAGCAAGATGACAGTGAACCGAAGCCCATGAAGAACATTGATTCAGAGAAATTTCTGCTAGCGAGGCATCAATAGAATTTTAATAGACGTTTCTAATACTCAATTTTAAGATTTTTTTCAAGGCAGGAACAGAGCTTCTAGCAAGATGTTTTTCTTCTTGTTTGCACAATTCTACAAAACATAATATTGTAAACTCACACATGCACTACTCCTGTCCTAATGCAAACCTCTTCTATTTTTCTGGATATTCAATGCACGTTATACTGGACACACTGACTTTGTGTAGATGACATTTGACAGTGGAATAGAATTAGGCAGCTATCATTATGGGGCAAGAGAGTCTGGACATGGCATTGCTCACTCAGGAGAGTAAAGTTTTAAGGGAGAGTGAGTGCACACTGCAATTGGGATGGAGCTTCAAGCTAAAGTTGTTTGAATCCAAAAACACTCAGGTAATTCCAGCTGGCATCAATCACTTTTTTAAAATTATCTTTTTCTTTCTCCTGCTTTTTTCCTTTGATAATGACCTGTGATTTAAATTACCCTATACCAACATGTCCATCATAGTCTATTCAGTATGATAATTTGTTATATTCTTTTATTCCCAAGGTTCACTATCTTGTACAACAAAATGTTTAATAGATGTCCAATTATTAATTGATAAATGAATCAAGAGATATATAGCTTTTTACAAATAGTAAAATTTATTTATCCCTAATTTGTGGGAACAATTATATCTGACAGCTTAGAATTTCTTGTTAGTCAAAGTTACTCTTGTCTGTTTTAACCTTTGTTTTGAAAAAAAATTCAAAAATATTTTAGTGTATTTCCTGTCTTAAGAGTTAGAGTATACATAAAATAAGTGGAATTTGACTAGACAGAATTTTTTCATATATTAGCATATTCTTTTTTGTCATTGATACCTAAAATTATGACCTAGAGCTATAATCTGATAGAAAACATAAAAGTGTTGATTGAATGTACGCTTAGGCTAAGGCATTTGAGTAATTTTATAATTTTTACTTAATTCATGATACTGCCTTAAGCTCTTTTTACAAATATACTCCACAAAATATTTGGTTAATTAAAAATATTAAATAGTTGTGCCGTTACAATTTGGAATTTGCTATACAAAGGTTCAAACTTTTCCTCAGCTTTAATAATTTTTACACAGATTAGTTATTTGTATTAACCTTAATATTAATCAATGCTTCATCTTCTAATTGGCAAACTTCTGCAATAGCTTAATATAATGATATTTAACACTTTTTAAAATTGTTGGGTGCCGGCGCGGTGGCTTACTCTTGTAATCCCAGCACTTTGGGAGGCCAAGGTGGGCGGATTACCTGAGGTCAGTAGTTTGATACCAGCCTGACCAACGCGGTGAAACCCTGTCTCTACTAAAATACAAAAATTAGCTGGGCATGATGGTGAGCACTTGTAATCCCAGCTACTCAGGAGGCTGAGATGGGTGAATCGCTTGAACCCGGGAGGTGGAATTTGCAGTGAGCCGAGATCACGCCATTGCACTCCAAACTGGGCTACTGAGCAAGACTCTGTCTTAAAACAACAACAACAAAAATTTGTTGGGCTAAAGTAGAATAAAACAATTGTAATTCACAGCTTTAAGAATCTCGATTTCAATAGAGATCAGTATATATAAACTTTTACTTTCGAAAGCAAAGCATTAGACCAGCCGCGGTTCAGAAAAATTTCTCTCCTATCTCTTACAAATACTGTTTATCTGTGCAAAGCACAGTTCCTTTCAGGTAGGGTTGACTTCAGTAACATTTTTCTTATGGATAACAAAACTTTTCAAAATTGGCAGTGCATGACATTCTAATTTCAAAGACTCTTATTCTGATGTGAGTGCCAGTTACTTGAGGCTGATTAATTTATAAAATTTCAAATGTGTATTTGAAAAAATTGAATTTTATTGAAGTAAATATTTTAAATACTGTTAATATTAAGAGCCATAAATTCAACCGTATCAAAAATAGAAAACAATTTGTTAATGAAATTTGCAGAAGAACAAATAGAGTAATAAAAATTTGGTTATTGGCTTGGTGCGGTGGCTCCCAGCACTTGGAAGGCCGAGGCAGGCTGATCACCTGAAGTCAGGAGTTTGAGACCAGACTGGCCAGCATGGCAAAACCCTGTGTCTACTAAAAATACAAAAAAATAGCCGGGCATGGTGGCACGTGCCTGTAATCCCAGCCACTCGGGAGGCTGAAGCAGGAGAATTGCTTGAACCCGGGAGGCATAGATTGTAATGAACCGAGATCAAGCCACGGCACTCCAGCCTGGGCAACAGAGCAAGACTCCGTCTCAGAAAAAAATCAGTTATTAATAAATCTAATATCACATTTCTGTTTAATGCCTACTATGTGCCAGGTCCTATCCTAAGATGTATTACACACACACACACATGCACGCACACACACACACATCCTCACTTAAGCCCCTTATCAGTACTATGATATGAACACTCTGTATTTACAACTATCCCCATCCTGCAGATCTAGAAACTAAGGGAGAATAAGTCTAAGACCCACACCTCGTAAATGGTTAGTGGGCATTAAACTCAGGCATCTCACTAAAGATCCTACACTCTGAACCATCCTATTAAATATCCTCTTTATGTAACAGGTGGTTTGCATTAGATCGCTCAACCAACTCAACCACCATCAAGATTACTATACATAATTATATTCAATTTCCAGGTATAATAGCTGAAGTTACGAGAAGCTGAGTATTGGGCTTAACATACGGTTAATAGAGAGTGCACTTGGGTTCATGCCTAGAAGTATATGTTTATGCCCATGTGTCCCATTCTTGTTCTATCACTGCATTTTGCCTTCAACTGTATCATTCAGGTATATGTCTTTATATCTTTACATTTAGGACTAAATGTGAGAAAGTACCAACGTAAAGTGGAAGATGACTTTTCTAAATTGCCTTAGAATAATAAGTGAAGTAAATTGCAACTTTATTCATTAAAAATGAAGGACTTTAAATATTTTAATCAGCCCAAGGATTAACAGACTTTCCAGGTGTGTGCTTTAGAAACGCTAGATCAAACCAGGAAGAGATGCTAACGGTAGAGAGGAATGTGGTAGAGATAACTATTTACAATTATTCTTCTTTCCACATGCTTTTCTTCCCACTCAGGTTAATTTCTTACATCCCCAAGGCATAAGTAATGTTCACATATTTTTTTTTCAATTTGATACACTCTGTCCTCAATTTTCAGGTAAAAATGTGGACAACATTAGATAATTCAACCTTCGGAGATACTCTTCACAAATGCAAAACCCCACAATATCTGGGGGAATCATTTTGCCAGTTGGTTGGATTTGAAATTCATGGTTGCTGACACCTCTTTAAAACCCTGCAGTCTGGTGATGCACATTTGCTCAGCCATTTTTGGCTTGATGTATTTCAAAGCTAGAGCTCTGAGGCAAGTCCAGCATATATTGTTGAAGAATTGAAGCGTGAGCAAGATGCCTAAGAAAGTCATAGATTGCCTTGAAGGAGAATAAGCTGTCCAGCAAGAAATTGTTTTCAGAGCAACTTCAAATTGTTTCCGCTGGTAGAATGTGGTTGATCTTCAATTTATTTTCATTCAAGGCAGATGTGTCTATTTCAAAGCACACCTACTCCAGAAAGACTTCAAAGCAACTGAATTTAGCATTTGAAAAACATTTAATCTCAACCAACAGTGTTCACTGGAGCTTAAACTTCATTGCATGTGTGTGAGGGGGTAATTTTTTATATTTTATATATTTATAACATTTCATACATACACATATCATATATATGTATATTCTTTTTAAATCAAAACTAACAGGATGCTATCATAGCTCAGGTCTACCTCATATTGTTGAAAGCACACTTATTTTTAAGAAATATGGAGTCTTAAGTGTTTTAATGCATGGCAGATGTGCTGGGTGAGGGAGAGAAAACAGCACTGATTTAGCCACTGAAATGAAAGCAGGGTCCCCAGGGGGAACTGGCTGTAGTGAAAACAAGTTAATAAGAATGAGACTGACTGCACCTCTAGTAACATTTCTTTAAGTAGAAATGGAGGAATTATGTCTCCAAAGAAGGAAATGACTGCTCAATTATCTCCTACATTTGCATTTCCAAATTTATCCAAGGTCTATATCCAAAGTAAGGTTTATAACGTTGACTGGGAAAGAAAAAGATAAACAAAAATACGATAGAAAAATTTAGTTTATTGGAAATAACATCTAACTTATCAAATGGGTAATTACCTAAAGGTAATATCACAAAGAGGTGCTACAAATGTGGAGGTAATCTTTAGCTAATCCTTCTGCTGCTCCTCCTCCCACATAAACATCTAATCCATCAACAATCATGTGACTTCAGAGATCTCAAAGAAACAGCTCTTTCTATTCTTCCAAAACATTTGCTTCTATGCTAATTCTCTCGATGGTATGGTTATTTTCTCTTTGCATATTCTACTGCTGGACACAGAGGAACGCAGTACATGAGTAAGTACCTTGTATATAATAAACATTTTTAAACCCTTATAAATAATAAAAATAATGAATAAGTGAATAAATGAATAATTACACATTTATGAAATTTAGTTGTTTTGATATCAGTATTTTTATTTTTGGAATGTATTACATTTACAGAAAAGTAGCAAGGATAGTAGAGAGAGTTTCTACATGCCCTTCACTCAAACTGCCCTCATGCTAACATTGAATATAATTAAGAAATAAACACTGGCACAATAATATCAACTAATCTTTGGTTTAATCAAATTTCCTCATTTTTTGCACTAATATTCTTTTCAGTTTCAAGATTCAATTCAGGAGCTCAGATTGTGAGTACTTATCATATGTCCTTAAATCCATCCAATCTGTAAAAGTTTGTCATTTTTCCTTGTCTTCTTTGATCTTTACGATTTTGTAGAATACTACTTAGTTGTTTGTAGACTGTCACTTAAATTGGGTGGGTCTCATGTTTTCTCATAATTAGACTGAAGTCATGGGCTTGGAAGGAGATTGCCACAGATCACATGAACACATAGGTGATGAATGTTACTCATCAAATCATAAGAATGGCATTTGACGTCAACGTGATTTACTTCTGATGACCTTCATTACTTGGCTAAAGTGGTTATCTGCCTAGTTTTTGCACTGTAAATTTACTTCTTTTTTTCCTTTTCACACTGTATGTGTTAACAGTGTGTCACTACAAGTGTAGTCCATACCCGATAAAGGGTAAATTGAATTCTACCCTACAGAAAAATAATCATCGGCCGGGCGCGGTGGCTCACGCCTGTAATCCCAGCACTTTGGGAGGCCGAGGCGGGCGGATCACGAGGTCAGGAGATCGAGACCATCCTGGCTAACACGGTGAAACCCCGTCTCTACTAAAAAAAATACAAAAAATTAGCCGGGCGTGGTAGCGGGCGCCTGTAGTCCCAGCTACTCGGGAGGCTGAGGCAGGAGAATGGCGTGAACCCGGGAGGCGGAGCTTGCAGTGAGCCGAGATCCCGCCACTGCACTCCAGCCTGGGCGACAGAGCGAGACTCCGTCTCAAAAAAAAAAAAAAAAAAAAAAAAAAAAAGAAAAAAAAGAAAAATAATCATCAAAACATCTGAAGATGTGCTAAAACCGTAGCAGCAATTAGTATAAATAATATTTAGGAGGAGATATTCTGTGGCTATGAAAATATTGTCTCTCCTTAAAGTTTTGTCCATTAGTTTTAGCATTCATTAAAGAATTTTGCCTGTGATAATTAATAACCATGGTTACATTGGAAAAACCTTTCTAGGCATTGGCTTAGGCAAAGACTTCATGACCAAGAACTCAAAACAAATGCAACAAAAACAAAGGTACATAAGTGGGGCTTAATTAAACTGAAGAGCTTCTGCACAGGAATGGAACAGTCAGCAGAGTAAACAGACAACCCACAGAGTGAGATAAAATCTTCACAATCTATACATCCAACAAAAAACTAATATCCAGAATTTAGAAGGAACTCAAACAAATTAGCAAGAAAAAAAATCCCATCAAAAAATGGGCTAAGGAAATGAATAGACAATTCTCAAAAGAAGATATACAAATGGCCAACAAACATATGAAAAAATGTTCAACATCACTAATGATCAGGGAAATGCAAATCAAAACCACAATGCAATACCACCTTACTCCTGCAAGAATGGCCATAATTAAAAAATAAAAAATTAATAGATGTTGGTGTGGATGCAGGGAAAAGGAACACTACACTACTGGTGGGAATGTAAACTAGTACAATCATTATGGAAAACAGTATGGAGATTCCTTAAAGAACTAAAAGTAGAACTACCATTTGATCCAGCAATCCCACTACTGGGTATCTACCCAGATGAAAAGAAGTCATTATATGAAAAAGATACTTGCACATGCATGTTTATAGCAGAACAATTTGCAATTCCAAAAATATACAACTGTCCAAAACGCCCATCAATCAATGAATGGATAAATTGTGATTTATATATATATTTGTATATTTGTGTGTATATATATATATATATATATATTTGTATATATATGATGGAATACTACTTAGCCATAAAAAGGAACAAAATAATGGCATTTGCAGCAACCTGGATGGAACTGGAGACTATTTTTCTAAGTGAAGTAACTCAGGAATGGAAAACAAAACATCATATGTTCTCAGTCATAAGTGGGAGTTAAGTTATGAGGATGCAAAGGCATAAGAATCACACAATGGACTTTGGAGACTCAGGGGAAAGAGTGGGAGGGGAGTAAGGGATAAAAGACTACAAATCGTGTTCAGTCTATACTGCTTGGGTGGTGGGTATTCCAAAATCTCACAAATCACCTCTAAGGAACTTACTCATGTAACCAAATACTACCTGTTTCTCAAAAACCGATGGAAACAAAAAAAATTTAAAAATTATTAACCATGCTGTTTTAAGGATGATCGTCTTTTTTCCTCATTTTGTCTACATTTATTAACTAGAATTCTGTAAAAATAACTGTCCTTTCTTGTTCATTCATTTAATTATTCCAGCATGCATTTTTTTAAAGACAGGGTCTTACTCTGTTGTCCAGGCTGGGGTGCAGTGGTGTGGGCATAGCTCAAAGCTCACTGTAGCCTCCACCTCCTGGGTTCAAGAGAGTTTCTTGGCTCAGCCTCCAGGGAAGCTGTGACTACAGTTGTGTGCAACCACACCCAGCTAATAATTTTGTTTTTAGTAGAAATGGGGTCTCATGTTGTCATCTAAGTTGTTCTCAAATTACTGGCCTCAAGTGATCCTCCCACTTTGGCCTCCCAAAGTGTTGGGATTATAGGTATGAGCCACTGTATCTGGCCTCAAACATGCATTTTATTCAGTTTGAGTTCCTAGATAATTATTTTATTTTCAGATTTATAACCAAATATGATATTCTTACTAATTCTGCACAAATTGTTCCAGCTTTGTGATTGAGTCTATCAGGCTGTCTTTTATGTCCTTTTGACATTTCCTCTTTTTGGCCCTTCCTCACTTTGTGAACTGAAAAGATAGTCCAGCTTATCTTGTATTTTGCATGTCCCAGATCTTTAATGTCTTTTCCACAAGGAACCCTTGGTTACCTTTTATTGGAGAATGGTATTCAGAAACCAACATCTGAGCATTAGGTGTGCTCATTGCAAATAGAGTGTCACTCCTTCTGGGCTCTCACAGAAGACAGAGTTAGAAAATATATGTATGTACACTAACTCATGCATACATTCATACTATATTTACTTGCTTAACTTTCTATTTGTATATATAGTAAAATAAACATAAGCCAATATTACATATCTAATTCTAATCTAGCACCATATGGTTCATTTTAATATTTTTTCCTTGTTTGTTTGTAAATTTTCTGTCAGTGAGTGACCCAACTCTCATTAACTATATTTATTTAATTTTAACCCAAATATTATGAAGTAGCTTCAAAATTGCTAATATATCCTATGAAGGACACATTTACCAACAATAGTACAGTGTTTGTCAGTGTTTGTATGCCTTTTTAAAAAAAATTACTTAGTCTTATAGTATCAAAACAAACTTTCCAAGTTATTGCGGTCAATTTTTTTACCCAACCACTTCAGAGCAGTTATATCATACATTTGCAATACAATGTAATGTTACAATGTGGATTATTAATTTATACCAGGCTGAATTTTATTCTTAGTTCCCCCCTAAATCTTGATTTGTTTGTATTTGCATACAGTAAAATTCAGTTTTAATGTCATACAGTTCTTTGTGTTTGGACAAATCCATGAACCCACAGATCCCTCACTCTAGTAGCATACAGAATGTTTCATCACTGTAAAATTTTCTCTGTGTCTTCTCTTTGTTGTCAACTATTCTTCTGTCTTCTGAACTAGTGCAATCACTATCTGTCTTCCTTCCCTATAGTTTTGTCTCTCCTAGTATAATACATAAATGTCTGTATTCTTGCACTCAGCAAAATGCATTTAAGATTCATCTGTGTTCTTGCATAAATTAATAGCTTTTTCCTTATTATCTCTGAATAATATTCCATTGCTTGCATATATCATAGTTTGTTTTTTTCCTTAACTTGTTGCTGGCCATCTTGATTTCATCCAGTTTTTGACAATTGTGAAGAAAGCAGCTGCTACATCTCTATCATCTGTCTATCTATCTATCTATCTATCTATCTATCTATCTATCTATCATCTATCTATCTATCTATCTATCTATCATCTATCTATCTATCTATCTATCTATCTATCTATCTATCTATCATGAAGGTTTTATGTAAACATAAGCTTTACATTCCCTGTGTAAATACCTAAGAGTAGAATTGCAATTTTGACTAACAAATTTACGTTTAATTTAATAAGAAGCTGCCTTGGTATTTTCCAAAGTGGCTGTATAATTTTGCATTGCCTTCTGCAATGAATGAGAGTTTCTGTTGCTCTGCAACTTAATTAGCAAATAGTACTGTCAGGTTTTTTTTTTGGAATTTTAGATTCTAATACATGTATATCAATATCTCATTGTTTTAATTTGCATTTTCCTAATGACAAAATATGTGAAATTTGTTTTTATATGTTTATTTGCCCTTTATGTATCTTTTTTGGTGAAAGATCTAAACAGATCTTTCCCTATACTTTGATAGAGTTATATGTTTTCTTATTGTTGAGTTTTAGGATTTAGTAAATCTTATGAATAGAAATCCTTTACTAGGTATGTGATTCTAAAGCATTTTCTGACAGTCTGCGGCTTGTCTTCTTCTTTCCTTTATAATGCAATTCAAAGAGCAAATTTTAAATTTTGAGTTAGTACAATTTATTAATCTTTAAACATTTTTATTGGTCAAGATTACAGTGCTTTATCTAATAACTAATCAACAAATCTAAGGTTTCACAGATTTTTTCCTGTTTCCTTATAAAATTTTACTATTCTATATTGTATGTTTTATTTATGTATAAATGTAAGGTATGTGCTAAAGTGCATTTGTTTGCATATTTTACTCTGTTCTATCAATCTATAGGTCTGTCTGTATGCCAGTACCATACTATTTTTTCAAATAAATTCAACAATTTATTTTATTTTTCTATTTATTTTTATTTGTAATTTTATTTTCTGTGGGTACATAGTAGGTGTATGTATTTTGGGTATGTGAGATATTTTGATACAGGCATACAATGCATAATGATCACATCAGGGTAACTGGCGTATCCATCACCTCAAGCATTGATCCTTTCTTTGTGCTGCAAACAATCCATTTATAATCGTTTAGTGACTTTAAAATATACAATAAATTACTATTGATTGTAATAACCCTATTGTGCTATTAAATACTAGATCTCATTCATTGTAACTGTATTTTTGTATCCATTAATCACTCTCAGCCTTCCCCCTGACCCCCTTCCTCTACCCTTCCCAGCCTCTGGTAACCATCATCTATTTTCCATCTTCATGAGTTCAATTGTTTTAATTTTTAGTGCCTTTCCACAAATAATGAGAACATTTGAAGTTTGTCTTTTTGTGCCTGGCTTATTTTGCTTAACATAACATCCTCCAGTTCCATCCATGTTTTTGCAGATGACAGGATCTCATTCTTTTTTATGGCTGAATATTACTCCACTGTATACATTACTATATTTTCTTTATCCTTTCATCTGTTGACAGACACTTAGGTTGCTTCCAGATTGTGGCTATTGTGAATAATGCTACAATAAACATGTGAGTGCATGTATCTCTTTGATATACTGATTTCCTTTCTTTTGGGTATGTAACTAGCAGTGGGATTTCTGGATCATATGGTATCTCTACTTTTAGTTTTTTGAGGAACATTTAAACTGTTCTCCATAATGGTTGCATTATTTTATATTCCCATGAAAAGTGTATAAGGGTTCCCTTTTTCCCATATTCTCCCCAGCATTTTTTATTGCCTGTCATTTGGATATAAGCCGTTTTAACGAGGGTGAGATGATAATCTCAAGGTAGTTTTGATTTACATTTCCCTGATGATCAATGATGTTGAGCACCTTGTCATACACTTGTTGGCCATTTGTATGTCTTCTTTTGAGAGATATCTCTGTATGTATTTTGCCCATTTTTAATTGGATTGTTAGACTTTTTTCTATAGACTTTTTGAGCTCCTAATATATTCTCGTGATTAACTTCTGTCAGACTGAGAGTTTGCAAATATTTTTCCCCCATTCCGTGGGTTGTCTCTTCACTTTGTTGATTGTTTCCTTTGCTGTGCAGAAGCTTTTTAACTTGAAGTGATCTCATTTGTCCATTTGTGCTTTGGTTGCCTGTGCCTGTGGAGTATTGCTCAACGAATCTTTGCCTAGACCAATGTCCTGAAGAGTTGCCCCAAAGTTTTCTTGTAGTAGTTTTATAGTTTCAGGTCTTAGATTTAATTCTTTAATCCATTTTGATTTAATTTTTGTATGTGGTGAGTGATATGAGTCTAATTTCATTATTTTGCTTATGGATATCCAGTTTTCCCAGCACCATTAATTGAAGAGACCCTCCTTTTTCCAATGTATGTTCTTGGAACTGGGGGAGGAATAACAGTAGGACCCTGTGGCCACCTCCACTGGGACTATGCTGGGTCATACCTGATGCCCACATAGGCTGAATCTTGCCCAAGACCCACAGTGACCACTGCCTGGCTACAGTTCATCTTCACTCAAGGCTCAATAGCTCTACAATCAGAGGTGGCAAATCCAGCCAGCCTTGTATTCTTCTCTTCAGGGAAACATATATCCCTCAGTCCCAGGCAGGTCCAGAGATGCCATCCAGAAGCCAAGACTGGAGTTTGGAACCTTAGGACTCTACCTGGGTTTTATTCTACTGTGGCTGAGCTGGCACCCAAGCCACAAGAAGAAGTCCTTCCCACTCTCCCTTCCCTTTCTTTCAGTCCTTATGCAAGCACAGGAATCTATCCCTGTGGCCAACATCACCCCAGGCTCATGGTGAGTACTGTCTGGCTATTGGCTATTTCCAAAGTTCACTTAAGGTCTGAAGGCCGTTCAGTCAGCTTGTGAATGATGCCAGACCTGGGTCTTTCCCTTTAGGCCAGTGGGCTCCCCTGTGGCCCAGGGCAATTCCAGAAATGCCATCTATGAGCCAAGATCAAGAATCAGGGACCCCAGGAGCCCACTTGGTGCTCTACCTCACTGTGGTCAAGCTGGTACCCAATCTGCAAGACAAAGTACCCTTTACACTTCTCTCTCCTTTGCCCAAGCATAAGGAGTCTTTCCCTGTAGGGAGTGTGCTGGGTCACACCTGAAGCTATCACAGCTCTGAGTCTTACTCAAAGCATGTAGTGAGTACTGCCTGACTACTACTGCTGAATATTCAGGGCCCAAGGGCTCTTTAGTCAGCAGGTGATGAATCCTGCCAGGACTGGGTCTTTCCCTTCAAGTCTGCAGGTCTTCTTCTGGCCCATGGTGTGTGGAAATTTCATCCTGGAGCTAGGGCCTGAAATAGGGGCCTGAGGACTCTGTCTGGTGCCCTATTCTACTGTGGCTGAGCCTGTATCTAAATCACAAGACAAAGTCCTCTTTACTCTCACCTTTCCTTTCCTCAAGAAGAAGAAAGGATCTCTTTTGAAGCTGTGAGCTTTGCTGGCTGGGGTTAAGAGAGTGGTAAAGCAAGCACTTCCTTGGCTGTCCCAGCTGGTGTCTGACTAGGTCACATGCACTCCAAGTCCACTGGTTCCAAGCCTAGCACAGCACTAGCACTTGCCAAGGAATTTCAGTCCTTGTGGCCTAGACAAGTTTATTCAGTTTCAAGTTGAGAACACTTTAGGCTGTGGTGGTAGGCCTTTCTGGAACTCAGGTTCCCATCACTAGGATATACAATTCACCTCTGGCTAGGGCTGGTCTAAATGTTCCCCCTATGGGTGTCAGCTTAATTCTGCCCCATGTTGCTTTCCATTGTGACAGAACAGCACTGAATTCCAATGCAAGTCCCACAATCACTGTGTTTTCTCTCCCCTAGTTCTCAGATTCTCTCTCTGTGTCACACTGCTGCTGCCAGATTATGGGACAGAGGCGGTGTGGGCAAATTGAAACTGCCTTTCCTACCCTCTTCAGTGACTGTTTCCTTGATATAATGTTAAAACCAGGTATTGTGATTGCACATGTGGTTTTGTTTTCTTTGAAGATGTTTTTGATGTGAATAGTTGCTCAATTTGGTGCTCCTGTGAGGAGAACAATTGCTAGAGGCTTCCATTAGACCATCTTGCTCTGCCTCTCTCCTTTCAAATTCTAGTATCATACTGTTTTAAGTATCGTAGCATTGTAACATATTTTGAAATCAGAAATTGTGAAACCACCAGTTTTGTTCTTTGTTCTCAATATTGTTTTGGTGATTCTGGGTCTTTTAAGATTCCATATGAATTTTAGGATAAATTTTTCTATTTGCATGGGGAAAAATCATTGAGATTTTGATAAAGGTTGCATTATAGATGCTTTGGGTATTGACATCTTAGCAATACTAAGTTTTCTAGTTCATTAACATGAGATGTATTTTTCCATTTCTTCATGTGTTTAATTTTTTTCAGCAATGTTTTACAATTTTCATTGTATAAGACATTCATATCCTTAATTCCTAGCTATTTTATTCTTTTTGATGCTACTGTAATGGAATCATGTTTGTAATTTTCTTTTCACTTTATTCATTGTTAGTGCATAAAAATGCAAATGATTTTTGTGTGTTGACTTTGTATCATAACACTTTACTGAATTAATTTCTTAGTTCTAACACTTTTTTGTGAAATATTTAGGGTTTTCTATCTATAATACCATGTTATCTGCAAAAAAGATAATTTTACTTTTTCCCTTTTATTTAATTTCAGTGCCTAATTTACCTGGATAGAACTTTCAGTACTATGTAGAATAGAAGTGCTAAAAATGGGCATCTTTGCCTTGCCCCTGATCTTGAAGAAAAAAAATGTTCAGTTTTTTGCCATTGAGCATGATGTTTACTGTGGATTTTTTATATATGACTTTTAATATGTTAAACTAGTTTCCTTCTTTTTTTGTTTATTGAGTGTTTTCATTATGAAAGAAGGTTGAATTTTGACACATTTTTTCTATATCAATTGAGATAATCATGTGTTAGTTTCCCCTTTATTCTATTAATGTGGTGCATTACATTGTTCAATTTTCATATGTTGCACCATCTTTGCATTTCACAAATAAATGTCATGTTGTAATGGTGTTTAATTCTTTTAATATGGTGCTAAATTCAGTTTGTTAGAATTTTGTTGTGGATTTTTGCATTTATTTTCATAAAGATATTGGTCTGTAGTTTTCTTTTCTTATAGTGTCATTTTCTGGTTTTAGTGTCAAGATATTGGTGGCCTTAGAATTATTTAGAAAGTGTTCTCTCATCTCCAATTTTTTGGAAAATGTTGAGAAGAGTTGGTGTAGTTCTCCTTTAAATATCTGACATAATTCACCAGTGACATCATTAGGTCCAGAACTTCTCTTTTTCAGGAAGTTTTTTGATAGCTGATTAATTTTTCTTACAGATTTTTGGTGCTTCCCACTCCATCATCCTTCCAGAATCCTCTTGCTGATAATTTTTAACACGAATGATATGAATTTTGGCATATGTTTTATTTGTACCTATTGATACAATTCTGTTTTTATTTAGTCTGTTTACATGATGAATTATATTGAGTGACTTTCAGATGTTGAGGTAGCCTTGAATTCCTTTCCAGGTACAACCCCTCTTGGTCTTAATGTACTACTATTTGTATATATTACTAAATGAATTTGCTAATATTTTGTTGAGGATATTTGAAATAATCTTAATAAGGATTATTAGTCTGCAGTTGCATTTTCTTGCATTATCTTTATCTGGTTTTCAAATTATGGTAATACTGGTCTCATAAAAAAGTTTGATGTGTTCCTTCTTGAACTATTTCCTTGATGTGGTTGTATAAAACTGGCATTTTTAAAAATTAAATATTTACTAGAATTTACAAAGAAAACCAATTAGGTCTATAGTTTTCAATGGTATATGCAAAAAAATTAAATTTTGTTAATTGATGTAGGAGAATTCATGCTATATATTTTCTCTTAAGTAAGTGACAATAGTTTATGTCATTGAAAGAACTGGTCAAATTAATCTCAATAGAAATAGATGTCAAATTTTTCACTGTATATTTGTAGCATTTCCTTGTTGTCCTTTTCACATCCATGTGCTCACTAATAATGTCCTTTCTTTAATTGCTGATAGTAACATTTTCTAGTTGATCTGTTTTTCTTTGGTCAGTCTGAGTAGAAGTTCATCACCATTATTGATCTTTTCTAGGAAGCAGCTTCTGAAGTTACTCATTTTTTTTTTCTATTGTTTTCCCATTTCAGTTTCACTGATGCCCATACTGGAGTGTGGGCTAGTTTTCCTCAGAATTCTGGATATACTATATCTCTGCCTGGGCTTGTGTCTTCCCTCCACACTGGTCCGGGAAGCATCTGCTTTCTCAGCACTCTCCTAGCTGGCTCCCGTGGCAATTTCTACTCAAAGCCTTGTTACAGCAATGGTCGGACTGAAGGAGGTGCTTTTCTGCAATACTCTTACTATGTCCAAATCTTAGGCAGATCTTGTGAACCCGGCTCTGAAATTGTGACATTCATAAATATTCCTGCCTGTTCATCAGCACCAGGGCTAGGACAGGCATGTATTTATGCTCTACTCCCTGAGGTGCAGCTCTTCCCTCCTATTTCCTTCTTGAAACTTCAATGGGTTTTCAAAAGTCTCTAAGATGTCGGTATTTACTACTTTTTCCCTGAAGATTAAAGCTTTCGTTGTTTCAGAGAGGTGACAAAGTAGCATCTGGGAGGAATTTTGTCCTTGCTTACTATTACCTTTCCCCAGCCAACAACATGGAAGCTTTCTTAAATTTACCCTAATCTTCGCATGCATGCCTTCAAGGGTTTATGCAAGAAAAGGCTGCAACTGGGAGGAAACACCCTGAAGACTGTGGTCCTCAGGAGCCCCGTCCTCCTTTAGTAGCCCGCACTGTTGCCTTGAACAATTTATTAAAAATTTCAGCCGAGTCTTCTTACTGGACTGTGTGCTGTCTGACAGTGTCTGCCCTAAGACTTGTTTCTAAGTGCGCCAATGGTCTCTCCCCACATTTTCGGCCAATTGTTTCCCTGTGACCTTAGTTCTCCAGTGAATTCCGTAGAAGTCATTCATATGCACTTTTTCTAGGTTTTTGTTGTTGGAAGAGTAGGGGGTGCTACTCTTTCCACTTTTCTACATCTTGAGCTAAAACAGTCCAACAACAAATTTTGATATTTCAAATTTAATTGTGCAATTTTACAAAACAGTTTACCTACACTCCACCTATGAAACCATTTTGAGAATTCTCTGTGCCAAAAGAAATAGCACGATAATTGTTGCAATAATATAAAAAGCAACACTTGAAGCATTTATCATATCACCAAATTCTAGAATCACAGATTCTCAAACATTAGGTCTGGAGAATCCTTAGAAAATATTGGTTCCCAATAACAAAAACCACATGATTATCTCAATAGACGCAGAAAAGGCCTTTAATAAATTCAACACCCCGTCATGCTAAAAACAGTCAATAAACTTCGTACGGATGGAACATATCTCAAAATAATAAGAGCTATTTATGACAAACCCATAGCCAATATCATAGTGAATGGGCAAAAGCTGGAAGCATTCCCTTTGAAAACCAGCACAAGACAAGGATACCCTCTCTCACCACTTCTATTCAGCATAGTATTGGAAGTTCTGGCCAGGGCAATCAGTCAAGAGGAAGAGATAAAGGGTACTCAGAGAGAAAGAAAGGAAGGCAAATAGTCTCTCTTTGCAGATGACATGATTGTATGTTTAGAAAACCCCATGGTCTCAGCTCCAAAACTGCTTAAACTGATAAGCAACTTCAGCAAAATCTCAGGATACAAAAATCAACATGCAAAAATCACAAGCATTTCTATACACCAATAGTAGACAGAGAACCAAATCATGAGTGAAATCCCATTCACAATTGCTACAAAGAGAATAAAATACCTAGGAATCCAACTAACAAGGGATGTGAAGGACCTCTTCAAGGAGAACTACAAACCACTGCTCAGTGTAATAAGAGAGGACACAAACAAATAGAAAAACATTCCATGCTCATGGATAGGAAGAATCAATATTGTGAAAATGGCCATACTGCCCAAAGTAATTTATAGATTCAATGCTATTCCCACCAAGCTACCATTGACTTTCTTCACAGAACTAGAAAAAACTACTTTAAATGTCATATGGAGCCAGAAAGAGCCTGTATAGCCAAGACTATCCTAAGCAAAAAGAACAAAGCTGGAGGCATCATGCTACCTGACTTCAAACTATATTACAAGGCTACAGTCACCAAAACAGCATGGTATTCATACCAAAATAGATATGCAGACCAGTGAAACAGAACAGAGGCCTCAGAAATAATGCCACACATCTACAACCATCTGATCTTCAACAAACCTGACAAAAACAAGCAATGGGGAAAGGATTCCTTATTTAATAAATGGTGCTGGAAAAAGTGGCTAGCCATATGCGGAAAACTGAAACTGGACCCCTTCTTCACACCTTATACAAAAATTAACTCAAGATGGATTAAAGACTTAAATGTAACACTAAAACCATAAAAACCCTAGAAGAAAACTTAGGCAATACCATTCAGGACATAGGATGGGCAAAGCCTTCATGACTAAAACACCAAAAGCAATTGCAAGAAAAGCCAAAATTGACAAATGGGACCTAATTAAACTAAAGAGCTTCTGCACAGCAAAAGAAACTATCATCAGAGTGAACAGGCAACCTACAGAATGGGAGAAAATTTTTGCAATCTATCCATATGAAAAAGGTCTAGTATCCAGAGTTTACAAGGAAATTAAACAAATTTACAAAAACAAAATAAAAACAAAAACAAAAACAAACCCCATCAAAAAGTGGGCAAAGGATATGAACAGACACTTCTCAAAAGCAGACATTTATGAGGCCAACAAATATATGAAAAAAAGCTCATCATCACTGGTCATTAGAGAAATGCTAATCAAAACCACAATGAGATAACATCTGACACCAGTTAGAATGCAATCATTAAAAAGTGAAGAAACAACAGATGCTGGAGAGGATGTGGAGAAATAGGAATGCTTTTACACTGTTGGTGGGAGTGAAAATTAGTTCAACCCTTGTGGAAGACAGTATGGTGATTCCTCAAGGATCTAGAACTAGAAATACCATTTGACCCAGCAATCCCATTACTGGATTCTGCACATGTATCCCAGAACTTAAGGTATAATAAATTTTTTAAAAAAGAAAATATTGGTTCCAGTGTTTTTCTCAACCTATCATGGCTTATAGGCCTCACAGAGAATTCAGTTCACCCTATATATTTTTAGTGTAATCAATTTCACAAGTGATATCAATGTACATATGTTACCTTAACCTAAGCAATCATAATTTTCTTTTTAGACAGTACATAATTTATGAAAAATGTTCTTGAGCTAAAAGATATTCAAGATACAACAACATCAAAACCCTTCCCAGAAAAATGTTTCTATAATTCTACCAGTTTTGCTTTCATCTCTTGAGTAGCTCCTCAGATCTCTTTCCTATGTCAGAATTAGCCTCTTTAATGACAACCCACTACTAAGATTAATTATTCTGTGCAGGCTTTAGTGAGGCCTTTGCAAGAGTATGATTCCTTAGTAGCCTCAAACTGTATCTTCTACAAAAGTACCCAAGAAGGGAAAGGACTCATGAGGATGTAAACCCATCCATGGATATTAGACAGCTTGAGGTGGTGAAGAATATGTTACATATAAACCCAGCAGATGCATGATCAATGAAGAGGATCTATGGACTACAAGTAATAGGATAAATTCATTGTTTATTTGAGATTCTAACCTGTACCTTCCAAATCCTATTTCAATGAATTTTATATTAAATCAGCCTAAAATATTTTTTCACTCAGGTTCTTTTTTACCTTTGGAAAGATTAAAAAAACAATGCTAATGTTGAATAAATCATCCAGCTACATTTTAAAATGAATATGTATTCCATCTCTATTTTCTTTGATTCTTTTCAAGTCTATTTTCTGCTATTATCCACAGATGGAGAAAGCTATTATCTACAGCTGATTTCACTTGTGATACTGCAACCTATTTACCTTTCCATCTTTCTGTAAGCCCCAAGATTATATTTTTCAAATACCCTCAAGTACTTGTTCATTTTCATGAGCATTATATCTGTACCTAAGTGCACAATAGCACCATTTTCAAACAATCAGAACTAGACATCTGAATGGCAGTGATCTAAGAAGAGATAGATCACATTAAGAAGCACTCCAAATGTTCTGTTTCTCAGGTTATTACACTAAGTAGGTCAGTGGTTTTCAACATATTTGGTGAACAAGAATCACTTAGGAGCTTATGAAAGATGCAGATCCCCGGGTATAATCCTAAACCTACCAAGTCAGGATACCTGGAGGTTAACCCAGGAATCTGTAGAGATGCTTCATTACGAGTTTTAAGTATTCATCATGTTTTTCTTTTTCTAGTCAAAATGTATTATTTCCTACTTAATATTCTTACCCTTAAAATGGTAAATGAATATGTTATTTAAATACATATATGTGTGTGTGTGTGTGTGTGTGTGTGTGTGTGTGTGTGTGTATGAGATATTCCATTTGCTAACTTCCCTTTTGGAATATGGTGTTTTTTATTGTATGCCTGTTTGTCTTCAACCTGTATTAGTCACTAACTTGAGAGTGGTAAACATTAATTTTCCTTTTTCATCTGGCTAAAGGATGGAAATAATAAGTATGCATTTATTGATGACTCAAATTCATTTTTTTCTTATGATGATAAAATTTTTTAATAAATAGAGTACATTTTAGTTGGTGGTTTAGTAGAAAAAGAAATGAACGATTTTTCACTTGAGCTAAAAAGACCAGGGAAAGCTTGCATGGATAAGTGTGAAAACAGAGCAGCCACTTCACAGTTACAGCAGCAGAGACATTAAAATGATAAAGCCAACTGGACTAAATCAAGTCAAAAGAGAGCAATAGAAGAAAGTTCTTATTGCTGTCAACCTGGAGGGTATTTCTATAATGGAATACTCGTTAAAGTTTGTCAAACACACACATGCAGCGTTTTTGCATTCTTCTCACTAGTTTTGCAAGGTTTAGCACCTTTTATAAGATTAGAAAATTGTTTCGATGTCATGACATAGTTGCAATGGTTTAAATGTTTGTGCTCCTCCGAAATTCATGTTGAAACTAATTCCCACTGTGGTGATATTAAAAGGTAGGGTTTTTAGGAGGTGTGTAGCTCATAAGGTCTCTGTCCTCATGAATGGAATTAGTATCCTTAAGAAAAAGGCTTGAGGGACCCTGTTTTCTTCTTTCTGCTTTGTGGGGACACATAGAAGGTGCAATCTATGAGGAACAGGCCCTCATCAGACACTGGTGACTTGATCTGGGACTTGTCAGATTCTGGAACTGTGAGTAATAAATTTCTTTTTGTTAAAGCAGCCCAGACATACTGAGACAATAGTGAAATAAACTTTGGTTGTAAAAGGACATAGATTTGGTCCCAAATCCATGACCTTCCAGCTATGTGACATACACAGGTCATTTAAAATCTCTAAGCCTTTGGTTCTTTGTGATAAAATGGAAAATGTAATCTTAAACCCTCTGCATCAGTACTGGAATTAATAACATGCTGAATAAAAAGTGCAAGGACAACATGTCTGTTCAGATGCTAATTCCCTTTCCCTCATTTGCATTTCTCTTTTGTTACTTCTCACAACTCCAAGGCATCCCAGGCAGGTGATCAGTGTAAAACCTCTGAGTATATATTAGTTCATCTTCTCCACATCGTTGCCAGTATAATACTTCTAACTTCAGATGCAATTACTCCCATGCATAAAACTGTGCAATTGCTTTCATTTCCTAGAAAATAAAATCCAAATAACAGCATATTATGAAAGGCCTTCTTCATCCAGTCCTTGCTTGTGTCACAATTCTTAATTCTAACTGCTTCAAAACACAATGAGAATAATGGCTAAAAGAACAGATTCTGACATTTTTCTGGACTTGGTTAATTGCAGCTTCATCACTTACCAGCTTTCTGATTTGGAGAAAAATACTAATCTCTTTTCATCCATAGTTTCAACTTTTATAAAATCAAAGCAATGATAATTGTGCTTCTTTATTTGAGCTGTGAAGAACATTAAATAACATTTAAAAAATTATTAGCTTTTATTACAAAATCAACTTTATTAAATTGACTGAATATACATTTTTGCTTCATGTATGTACCTGTGTACATGTTTGTTGTTGTTTTCTTCTTTGTTCTTCTTTCCTAGACTATCCTTCCCCTACTTTCTAAGAGAAGGAATAGCATGTATTATTCATTATTATAACAAAGTTATGCTTTTTGTTGTTTTCCTAAGTCAATACCTCCCTCCATGCAGGAAGGATCAAATATTCTTTTCTCAGTGTTTCTATGGCATTTTAATCATCACCTATAGTCAACTGTAAAATATTGTATACTAGTTGTTTAGGTGCTTTGTTTACACAGTACATATGTACTTGAAAGTACAAGGACTGAATCTTACACAATTCTGTCTCATCAGGTTAACAGGATCTTCCTATGTGATTGCCGATTGCTCAATAAATGTTTTTGGTTCTCTTCCTTTTTTTTACTCAAAGTATATTTATTGTGGCAAAACGCACGTAACATAAAACTTACCATTGTAACTGTACTAAAGAATACCATTTATTGGAATTTTATACATTTACTAAGTTGTGCAACCATATAACTATCTAGTTTCAAAACACTTTTATCACCCCAAATGGTGATATAACAAAGTTATAAGGCATTCCCCAAATGGAATGCCTTACAAATTAAAGAATCAGTCCTAATTCTTTCTTCCTCCCATTTCTGAGGCAACCACTAATCCACTTTTTATCTTTATACATTTGTTGATTCTATGTAAGTAGAGTCATCTAATTTTGGTCCTTTTGTGTCTATTTTATTTGACAAAATATTTTCAAAGCTCATCGATGTTGTAGTATATATTAGTTTTTCAGTCCTATTTATAGCTGAAAACTATTTTATTGTGTGGATATACCAGATTATGTTTGCTTGTTCATCTGTTGATGAACATTCAGGCTATTTCTCCTTTAGGGTATTATGAATAGACCTGCTGTGAACATTCATGTACACATTTTTGTTTGAATACAGGGTTTCAGTTTTGGAGGGTATATGCCAAGGAGCGGAATTGTTTGGCCATATGGTAACTCTGCTTAGTTTATTGACAAGCCAACAAACTGTGTTACACAGTGCTGCATCATGTTACATTCTAAAAAGCAATCCATAAGCCTTCCAATTTATCTTCATCCTTGTTGTCTTAGTCCCTTTTCTGTTGCTATAACAGAAATCTGCGACTGCGTAATTCACAAAGGAAAGATAATTATTTAGCTCATCGTTCTAGAGCTGGAAAGTCTAAGATCAGATGGCTGCATCTGATGAGGGTAGTATTATGGCAGAAAAACATAGGGGAAAGCAGGCATGTGCAAAAAAGGCAAAAAAAGAATAAGTGGCCTCACTTTATAACAACTCAATCTTGCAGTAACTAATCCAGTCCCAACATAATGAGAAGTCACTCACTTCTGCAAGAAATAACCCAGTTCCCCAAGAGCAGCATTAATTCCTTTAAATGACCTAATCATCTCTTAAAGGCACCACTTCCCCAACACTGCCACACTGAGGCAAAAAGTCCAACACATAATTCTGGGGAACACACTCAAACCATCACACTTGCCAATGCTTGATATTTTAAATTATGTTTTATGTTGTCCTTCATAGTAGGTGTCATGAGGTTGCTCATTGTGGTTTTGATTTCCATTTCCCTAGAGACTAATGATATTGAGCATCTTTCTATGTGATTGTTGGCCATTTGTATGTCTTCCTTCAACAACTCTCTGTTCAAGTCTTTTTCCCATTTTTAATTGATAATTTTGTCTTGTTATTGAATTGTAATATTTCTTTTAAAATTCTAAATACTAGACCTTATCAGTTACAAGATTTGCAAATATTTTATCTCATTTTGTGGGTTTTCTTTTCAATCTCGTGATAGTGTTCAACAGACAGGATTTAAAAAAATTTGGTGGTATGCAACTTACCAACTTTTGTTTCTGTTACTTCAGTTCTTGACGTCATATTTAAGGAACTATTGCCAAATACAAGGTCACAATAATTTGCCTTTGATTTGTTCTGAGAATTTTGTACTTCGGGCTTTTATATTTAGGTTGTTGATCCTTTTTGAGTTAATTTTTATATGTGATTTGAGATAAGATATCCATTTGTTCTCTCCCCATTGGAAGGTCTCAGCATTCTTGTTGAAAATCAATTGACCATAGGTGTCTGAGTTTATTTCTGGACTTTCAATTTTATTCCATTCATCTGTATTTGTATCTTTACAGCAGTACCATACCATTTTGATTATTGTATATTTGTAAAACTTTTGAAACAACAGTGTATTGTGAGTCATCTAACTATTATGATTTTTCATCATGTTTTGCTGTTCATGGCCCCTTGCAATTCCATAGGAATTTTAAGATAAGTAAGTTTTTCCATTCTTCAAAAAAAGGCCATTGGGATTTTGATACAGAGTTTACTGAATCTGTAGATCAGTTTGAAGAGTCTTGCCATCATAACAATGTTACATTTTCCGATCATGAACATAGTATTCCCTTTCATTTACTTGGGTCTTTTTAAAGTTATTTTATCAATATTTGTAGTTTTTATTGTAAAAGTCTTTCACTTCCTTGACTCAATTAAACCAACTCCTGTTTAAATATATTCAGTTTGGGGAAAGTTGTCAAATTCTAATATAATTAATTCTGTTATACTGCTGAAACATTGTATCAAATTATACCTTCTAGTAAATATTATAATTTTGTTAGCAGTCGTCATAATTTCTGAGAGAAACATATATTGATATTAAGTTGAACTTCAAAAAGCTCAGTAAATTTCAACTAACAAAAATATTACTAAAGCGAAAACACGGTGATAAAAAAATATGAGAAAGTAATGTGCACTTTGCATATTCATGATGATTGATAGTGGACAAATATCTATCAATATATGGAGTTATGTGAGTTCATAAAATAAGAACATTTTCTACTTTAGAAAAAGTGAGGCTATGGAGTTCTTCCTGCTCTCTCTCTCTTTTTAATTTGAAACTATTCTATTTCTTTAAAATCATAAGCTTTATTAGTGGTAGTACGTTACAACACATTTTTCATCTCTAGGGAGAAGTTACACAAGTTTAAATCTGGAAATGAAAGAAAAACAGAAAATATGAGTATATTATTTTACTTACAGACATAAGTAAGTGAGATAAGATAGCCTTAGATAAGCTTTTTAGATGAATTCAATAACTGAGTTTCCTCAGTTCTTTCCACAGCCGTACAAAAAAAACCAACAAACAAAGTTTTAAAAGAGTCATCAATTTTTACCAATTCTGGTAAAGAAATGGTGATGTAAATATAGGCAAAAATGAAGTTCTTAGAAGTAAAATCCACATAACCAGACTGAGGAACAGAATGTATTGATTACTCAAAATTAAATTTTTTCTAACACCATTTTGATATATGAGGTCTATACATATCCATAATTATTCTTTAAATTGAAACTTGAGACATTTGGATAGCTCAACAAACAACCCAAGGGCTGTTAGAGCATTTATGTCACATGAGTAATGTCTTAAGAAAAATGGCTATTGCTTCAGAGTGGGGAATTGAATTCAATTCTACCTAGTCTTCAAAGACGAATCATTATGACCATCTTTAAAAACAACCACCACGATATCAGGACTGTATCTGCCCCTTAGAACGCTTTAAAAGTTTGAGACAAAAAACAACAATCATGATGATCCTGAAATGATAAAGGTTTCATAATTTTCTAAAGCTCTAATTACTAATTACCATTGAAATGAACCCACAGTCTCTTCTGGGCAGAGCAGTTCACTTTTCATTAGACTAATATTCATCAAGAAATAAAGTAATCTTTGTATCAACTTTGATCTAGGGTATTTTACAAACTTTTAATAATCTGAGGTCGGTCCAACTGATAGTGATTGTAGCATTTGACGGTTTTATTATCTGAGTAAATTTATGAAGGAAAGTCCATATTGTATTTGATTGTGAACTTAAAAAAGAATCGATTACTTCCTCAGTGTATTTTATACAAAAATTGAATTCTATCCAAATTATGTGTTCTAAATTGTGTTGAATTGATGACCAGATTACTTGAGTAAAATTCTATATCTAAATAATATTAATAAAACTATGTTTCATATTAATAACAAGCTTATTACTGTTTTACATACATCAGCCTATTCTAGCCTCTCAATGAACTTGAGATGGGTAGTGTTTATAGATGAAATTTTTAAGGTTTGTTCTTCAACTCTGCAAAAGTCATTTTCCAAAGAGCCATCTCAATGAAAATGTAGTTATTGGGTCCTTTAGCACTCAAGCTTCTCCATGGCTTCTGTATTTTCCTGCAAACGTAAAATTATAGTAAGTTGCACATAAGACATTGACAGATGTAATTTTTTATCACTTTTCTACTTCCCCACTTAGATTCTGAAATTTTCTAAGACAGAGCCTATATTTATTCATATTTGTATTTCCAGGATCAGGTTGCGTTAATCACAATGTAGGCACTCAGTAGATGTTTCTTAAATGAAGGAATAAATCTGAAGCTGACCAGCAAGCCCTTTCTGGTTTTCCAAAACAAGCCAAACAAATCAGTCTGCATTGGACGTTCTCACAGTGCACTGTTTGGTTCTATCATAGTTCATATCACATTACATTATATTTCATTGTTTTCTTGACAGCTCCCACCCCCACCCCACCTAGGCCATACAAATGTAAGGTTTTGAGGGAAAAGTTTCTACTCTGAACACCTGTGAACCCCTAGTCCTAGCAAAGTGTTTGGCACAGCAAGGGCTCAGTAAATATTTACGAAATGAGTATGTGGGCAAAAATGTCTTTGTATCTTCATCATTTTACATCTTGATGAGGAGAAGTTTTATGATAATAGTGGAGAAGGGGAGAAGAAATATTAACATGATAGCACATAGATAATTTAAAGCTAAGAGTAATATATACATTTTAAAAGCTCGATTGCATTTTAGATTTTCCACTCTGAACATAAATCTAAACCTTCCTAGGAGAGACCAAGAATGTTCATAGGAATGGTCTCCTCCAGGATAAAGCTGGGAGGAACGTCCTCATTGCCTAAAAGAACCAGCAGTGCCTGAATAAGGATGGAGCTGTGCCCTTGCCAGAGGAGAACAAAGGGATAGAAAGGTCCAGAGGAAGCACAGAACCAGAAAGGGAGTGTGGTCAGAGAGAGAAAGGGCACTCGGGTTCCCAGTGAAGGCAGATGTGATGTGGGCTGAAAGATGAGCAATGGAGAAAGTTAACAAATTAACTGCTCCACTGTCTGCCCTGTAAGTTGTGATGATGAACAGCAACAATGCCTCTCTCTGTAATAGCATATTGCTCCAGGGTGCAACTTAGTGCAACTTAGATGGGTTGCACATGAACAGAAAAGTTTTTACAATTTGTCCTTGTAGTTTTGAATATCCCTTGAAGATATTCACGATAGGAGAGAGACCAAGCAGTTAGAGCAGCTTTGGAAAGCCTGATTCTCAGAGAAGGGCTGCAAAATCCCAGTGTCAACTCAGAAATACAACAGAACGCTCCACATGGGCTGGCCAGTCTGAGGATGCATCGTCTTAAACCAGGCTTCCTGGAGGCCTGTGTGGGTAATGGACAGAAAATCCATCCATTTCAAGAGCAGGACTATAGAAAGGTCTGCTGATAGAACCGTTTTGAAAGCCTGGCTTTAACTCATTCAGATTGAACTATGCTATGAAACCACACATTAGAGAGCTTCTCCGGCTTATTCTTTGGGTGAACACATCTTGATTTTCCTTTGTCTAATCCGGAGGGTCTGATAGCACAAAATACATTTTTCTTTCCTTAGCTTTGTATTCTACAGTTCAGAACTTCAGTACAACCTCACTCACTCATGGACAGCCCATGTTCATTTTCAGGACCCTGGTAATGTGTCCCAAAGTGCAGCTCAAAACGCTTCCTGTCAGTTCCAGCCACATCAGGGCCTTCCCCCACCTCCTGCTCCTCCACCTCCCCACTCCACGGCTCCCCACTCCTGTCCCCACCCCCTGCTCCCCCACCTCCTCACTTCCCCACCTCCCCATTGTTCCCCTACCTCCTTACCTCGCCACCATCCTACTCCCCCCTCTCCCTCCCCCACTTCTCCACTCCCCCACCTCCCCATTCCCCCACCACCCCGCTCCCCTACCCTGCAGCCAATGCACAGCTGTTGCTCTTTTC
This sequence comes from Homo sapiens, assembly GCF_000001405.40. Classification (NCBI taxonomy): domain Eukaryota; kingdom Metazoa; phylum Chordata; class Mammalia; order Primates; family Hominidae; genus Homo; species Homo sapiens. Next base: position 4,584,394 of record NC_000002.12, read on the forward strand.
AAATGTGAGGGAAATGCCAGGTGCTCCCACCACCAAGCCATCCCATTGCTGTCCTTCCCCCTCCACTGTTTTGGAAAAATAACTAAATAAATCTGGCCATTGGTGTCTGCTTGTATTACTGGTAGAGGGTGTCCAGGTTCTTGGCATCTTGAACAAAGAATTGCCCTTCCACTGAAGAGCAATACCAGGTCTTATTTATTCCTTCACCAATTGATGGACATTTGGAGTGTTTCTAGATTTTGGCTATTATTATAATGCTACTTTGAACATACATGTGCTCATAATTGTGTAGACATATGTTTTTATTTATCTTGACTGGATAATTAGGAGTAGAATTCATGGGTCACTGGTGAGCTTATGTTTAACTTTGTAAGGTTTTAATGGAACTGACAAACTATAGTTGACTTTTGTGTCTGCAGGTTTTGTATCTGCAGATTGAACCAATCTGGGATCAAAAATATTTGGAAAAAAAAAAAACTTCTTGTCTATGGAAAGTAACAATATACCAGTAAAAGTAATACACATTTAAAAAGATAGTATAAGAACTGCTTGCATAGCCTTTATGTTGTATTAGGTATTATAAGTAATCCAGAGATAATTTAAAGTATAGGATATAGATAAAGTATATCTAGAGATGATATAAAATATATATTTTGCAACTTTTAATGGCAAAAAGCACAATTACTTTTGTCCCAACCTAATATTTGTAGGGTTATATGCAAAGATCATGTCATTTTTTTATCAGGGGCTTGAGCATAAGCAAATTTTGGTATCCGTGGAGGTCCTAAAACCAATCCCTCTTCCTGAGGGACAGCTTTATTTCCAAAATGGCTGCATCATTTTACATTCCTACAAGCAATATGAGGGTTCCAAATTCTTCAGTTTTGTCAAGGCGTTTTCTTTTTATTTTGTGTCTTCTTCTCCCCTCCTCCCCCTCCTCCTCTCTCCCTCCCTCCCCTCTCTCCCTCCCTCCTTTCCTTCCTTCCTTCCTTCTTTCCTTCCTTCCTTCCTTCCTTCCTTCCTTCCTTCCTTCCTTCCTTCCTTCCTTTTTCCTACCAGCATTTCCTTAAGGACTAATAATGCTGAACATCTCATGTTCATATTAGCTGTCCATATATCTTACTTTGTAAAACGCCTATGCAAACATTTTGCCTACAGTTAAATTGGGTTATTTCTCTTCTTTATATTGAGTGGAAAGTCTTCTTTATATATCCTGGAGACAAGTTCTATTCAGTGCTCAGACATATAATAAGAAAATATTTGCTACAATCAGATATATGAGTTTAAAATGTTTTATGTGGCTTGACCTTTTAATTCCTTAATGGTGTTTTTTAAGTCAGATGTTTTAATTTTGATGGAGTTTAATGTACTAATTTTGTCTTTTTTGGATTGTGTTATAGATATAATCACTGATAGCTCTCTATATAACTCAAGGTAAATGAAAACTTTCTCCTTCATTTTCTTCCATAAATTTTATAGCTTAAGCTCTTATATTTAGGTCTAGAATCTATCTTGAGGGAATGTTTTGTGTGTGGCATGAGGTGAGAATCGAAATCTGTCCTTTGTACTTGGATATCAAATTGTTTCAGAATTATTTATTGAAGAGACTATCCTTTGTCAATTAAAATGTATTGGGCCTTTTGCTGAAAATTGGTCAGCCGTAATGCAAGTTTATTTCTGAATTCTCAGTTATGTTTTGTTAATTCATATGTTTATCCTCATGCAAGTACCACATTATCTTAATTACTTTGTATCTTTTACAGTAACTTTTAAAATTGTTTATTGTATCTCCTACAACCTCCTTTTCTAAATTGTTTTTCTGATTCTGTATTTTTTGACATTCACTATATATTTTAGCATAAGCTTGTCAATTTCTATAAAACAGCCTGCTGGGGTTTGATAGGAATTATGTAAAGTCTACAGATAAACTTGAGGAAAATTACTATCTTAACCTCATTGAATATTCTAAATCCTTAGCTTAGAATATCCACCCATTTATTCAGATTTTCTTCAATTTTTCTCAGCAATGTTTTTTAATTTTCAGTAAGCAAGTCCTGTAATTTTGAATATTAAATTTATATCTAAGCATATTATTTGATAATTCTGTGAATGATTTTTTAAATTTTGTTTGAATTAGTAGTTGTTTATATATTGAAAAATTCATTAATTTTTGTAAAGTAATACATCTCGTGACCATGTTTAACTCATTAGTGCTAGCATTTTTTAAAAATGGATTACTTAAATTTTTCTATCTAAAAGATCATGTCATCTGTAAATAAAAAATGTTATATACTTGATTTTCTCCAATCTGGATGTCTTTAACCCCTTGCCTTTCTCTCTCTCTCTTTATCCTTCCTCCTTCCTTTCTCCTTTCCTCCTCCCTCCCTTCCTCCCTCTCTCCCTCCCTCTTCCTTCCTTCCTTTCCTCTCTCGTTCTCTCTCTTTCTTTCCTTTTCTTGTTCCACTGAATAGAATCTTCTGTAAAATGCTGAACAGAGGTCATGAGAGTGGACATCTCTGCCTGGTTCCTAATTGTGTGAGGTAGAGGACATTCAGTCTTTTCCAATTAAATATAATATGAACCACAGTATTTTCACTGATGCTTTATATGAAATTGAGATAATTCCTTTCTTTTCTTAGTTTCTTGAAAATGTTTATTATAAATATGGGTTAAAGTTTGCCAAATGCTTTTCCTATATCTATTTTTTCTATTATATTAATATAATGTTATATATTTTTATTTTTAAATGTTATACCCAACCTGCTTTTGGAGAATAAATTTACTTTATCTTGTTATTTTATATGCTGGTGGACTAGGTTTGCTAATGTTTATTAGGATTTTGTGTCTATGTTAACAAGAGGTATTAAATTATAGTTTAATTATTCTATGTGTGTGTGCAATGTCTCTGTCTGGATTTGGTTTCAAGTTAACGCTGGCCTTATGGAATAATATGAATAGTGGACACTATTTCCTATTTTCTGAGAGAGTTTGTAAAATATTGGTATAGTTTAATTTACAGATTCGTGTGTGTGTGTGTGTGTCTTTGCCACATAGAGTCGGGTATTAATTCACTATAGTAATTTTTTCTTAAAGTTTTAGTTATTGTAGTTTTCAAATCTGAAATTTTTACCAGGTCATTTATAAAATAATTATCACAGTAACTAATGCTCTAGTTATTGAGCTATTTTCATCACATTTTCTTTAATTCCTAAAAATGGTTTTGTTTAGTTATTTTTCCCCCAATATATTTAAAGTAGCTTGCTTAGATTTTTTTTTCCTAAGCCCAATATTTATGCCATCTCTGTGACAGTTTTTGTTACATGGTTTTGATTTGCTTTTTTTTAATAGTAGGAAAAAATTTTACTGTTTCTTTCCTTGTCTCATAATTTTTCATTGGAACCTGAACCTTTTCATAAAATAGTTCTACTTTGTGGATTCAGATCTTTTGTCCCTCAAGGATTGTTGTTGAATTTTTGAATTCATCTTTTGTTTCTATAATGACTTGTGTGTACTAAATCTATAGATTCTGTTCCCCATGGCATGTGGCTGCTGATGTTTCTGCTCAATTGAAAGTGTGTGTGTGTGTGTGTGTAATCTTGTATCACTTAACAATGGGAATGCATTCTGAGAAATGCATTGTTAGGAAATTTCCACACTGTGTGAACATCATAGAGTGTGCTTACACACACCTAGATGGTATAGCATCTACACACCTAGGCTATATGATGTAGCCTATTGTTCCTGGGCTACAAACTTGTATAGCATGGGACTATACTGAGAACTGTTGGCAATTGTAACACAGTGGTAAGTATTTGTGTATTTGAATATATCTGAACATAGAACAAAATATAGCAAAAACATGATACTGTAATCATATGGGACCACTATTATATATGCTGTCTGTGTTGGCTGAAACACTAAGTGGCACATGACTCTGTGTGTATGTATAATTATTACTGTTATTTTTTGCCTGGCTTCCTAGGGTCATCTTTGTGTCTGAATAGCATATTGGTGAGCCGGTCATTAATCAGAGGTTGTGGTCTAACACCTCAAAAGAATAAGTCTTCCATTGTATGACAGTGGATCTCTGTGGGTCAGGGGACACTTTCAATGGTTCAGTAGGTTTGGAGTCTCTTCCTTCTTTAATTTTGTTGTGCATGCTCATATGTCCTCTACAGATAATCACAGGCCAAAGTGAGGAATGTGTGAAGATCTTGGCCTCTCTGAAGTCTCATAGACATATGGAAGCTCACCAAGGACCCCATATCTGTCTCATTTCTTGGATGTCCCTGATAGATGCCTGAGGGTTCTGCCATTCTGTTTGCCTGAATCCATGCCACATCTTCATTCTTGCTGAGTCACTTTTCTTCTGTAGATTCATCATCAATGTTGCTCTTGTTACTGATAGTGCTGCTTGAGCATGGTGTCTTACGTTGTTCTACTTCATATCAGGTCAGGCTCCTCTGGCAAAGACTTTCAGTTTTTTTCTCCTCTGGTAGAACTATCACTGTGACTCAGCTGTGGTGGGGGAAGGGCGAAGCCCCAAGTAAGGATGCCACAGGCTCCCACCCTTCTTCCTCAAAATCCAGTTGTTTCTTTACAGTAAATGACCACTTCTTAGTTCAACGTTTGCTTTGGTCAATTTCCAGAGTCCTGATGGGGTGATTGTTGGCAGTAATGTCCAGTTTTATTAATTATATTGCCACACTGGAAGTCCCACTTCACAAAAGTTTTTGGTTTTGCTCTTTTACATTTTAAAAGGAGCAGTTTTCAGCACTGTATACTGTAAATTGGCATTCCTGATGTGGCATACTATGTTCTTTGATGTGAGTATGCATGGTCCTATGTCAGTAAAGAGGAATTGAACCAACCTCACTTTAGGAAATTGAGAAGGAATTTCTCAGGAAAGTACAGGCCTACCTCATTTGACTACACTTAGTTTCAACATGCTTCTCACTGAAGGTTTGCAGCAACTCTGTGTTGAACAAGTCTACCAATGCTATTTTTCAATAGTATGTGCTCACTTTCTGTCTCTGTGTCACACTTTGATATCTTCATAATATTTGAAACTTTTTCATTACTATTATGAAACAGACTATTACTATGTCTGTTATGGTGATCTGTGATAATTGATCTTTGATGATACTACTGTAATGGTCTTGGGGCACCATGAATTGTGCCCAAATACAATGGAAAACTTAATCAATAAATGTGTGTATTATGAGTGCTCCACCACCTTGCTGCTCTTCCATTTTTCTTACTCTCCTTGGGCCTTCCTATAACCTTAGATAAAACAATATTGAAATTAAGCTAATTAATAACACTACAATGGCCTTTAAGCATTCACGTGAAATGAAGAGTTTTGTGTCTCATTCCTCACTTTAAACCAAAAGCTAGACATAATTAAGTATTGTAAGAAAGGCATGCCAAAAGCTGAGATAGGCCTCTTGCACCAAATAGCTAAGTTGTGAATGCACATGAGAGGTTCTGTAAGAAAATGAAAAGTACTACCCCAGTAAAAACACAAATAATAAGAAACTGAAAAACACCTATTGCTTATATGAAGAAAATTTTGGTGGTCTGTGTAGACGATTGAACCAGCCACACCATTTTCTTAAGCTACAGCCTGATCCAGAGTAAGGCCATAACCCTCTTCTATGAAGACTGAGAGAGGTGAGAAAGATGGAAAATAACAGTTTGAAGCTAGCAGAGGTTGGCTCATGCAGTTTAAGGAAAGAAGCTGCCCTTATAATATAAAAGTGCAAGATGAAGCAGCAAGCATTGAGGTAGACGCTGCAGCAATTATCCAGATCTAGCTGAGATCATTGATGAAGGTGGCTACACTCAATAGATTTTCAATGCAGACAAAAGAGTTTTTTATTGGAAGTAGATGCCAAATGGGACTTTCCTAACTAGAGAGAAGTCAATGTCTGGCTTCAAATCTTCAAAGGACAGGCTGATTCTCTTGTTAGTGGTTAATGCAACTGATGACTTTAAGTTGAACTCATTGTTCACTTACAATTCGGAAAATCCTAAGACCCTTATGCTAGATCTACTTGACATGTGCTCTATAAATGAAACCACAAAGCCTGGATGACAGCAACTGTTTACAGCATGGTTTACTGAATATTTTAAGCTCACTATTGAGAACTACTGCTCAGGAAAAAAGGTGCTTTTCAAAATATTACAGCTTATTGACAATGTGCCTGGTCACCCAAGAGCTCTGATGGAAATGTATGAGGAGATTAATGTTTTCATCACTGCTGATACAACATTTATTCTGAAGTCCAGGGATCAAGAAATAATTTTGACTTTCAATCCTTATCATTTAAGAGATACATTCTGTAGCCCACAATTTCTGTAGATAGTGATTCCTCAGATAAATCTGGGTAAAGCATACTGAAAAACCTTCTGGAAAGGATTTATCCTTCTAGATTCCATCAGGAACTTTCAGGATTCATGGGAGGAAGTCAAAATATCAACATGAACAGGTGTTTGGAAGAAGTCGATTCCACCCCTCATGGGTGACTTGAGTGTTTCCAGACTTCAGTGAGAAAATAACTGCAAATGTGGTAGAAGTGGCAAGAGAAGTAGAATTAGAAAGGGAGCCTGAAGATGGGACAGAATTGCTGTAATCTCATGATAAAACTTGAACGGATGAGGACTTGCTCTTACAGATGAGCAAAGAAAATGTTTTATTGAGATAGAACCCACTCCTGGTGAAGACGCTATGAACATTGTTGAAATTATAGCAAAGAATTTAGAATATTACATAAACTTAGTTGATAAAGCAGTATCAGAGTTTGAAATAATTGACTCCAATTAAAAAAGTTCTATTTCGGGTAAAATGCTATCAGATAGCATTAGATGCTATAGAGAAATCATTTGCGAAAGGAAGAGTCAATCAATGTGGGAAAATTTATTGTTGTCTTATTTTCAGAAATTGCCACAGCCACCCCGACCTTCAGCAACAACCACCCTGATCCGTCAGCAGCCAGCAACGTCAGTGTAAGACCCTCCACCAGTGAAATGGTTATGAGTTGCTGAAACATTTTTTAGCAACGAGTATTTTAAAATTAAGATCCATAAACTTTTGAGACATAAAACTATTGCATATTTAATAAATTTCAGCATAGTGTAAACATGCCTTTTAGATGCACTGGGAAACCAACAAATTCTTGACTTGCTCTGTTGCGATGTTCACTTTATTGCTGTAGTCTGGAACCGAACCAACAATATCTCTGAGGTATGCCTGTATGTTTAATCTTTGATCTACAAAAAGTAGAAATTTTTCATAAATAGAAGGTTAAACAAACAGACAAGTAAATACATCACATCAGTCAGGAGGAACAGTTTGTGCAATGATGCAAATGCAAGTGAAAAGGCAGCAATGTTCTTTGTTTACCAGTTTGTTTCTGATCAAAATGACTGGCTGGGGGTCTACTCACCAGAGACACACTTGCATAAGTCTTTAAAGAAAAGGAGATGAAGAATCAGGCATGTATATTTGAAACACTGACAGCAACGTAGTTATCCAATGGAGGAAGCAAGTTGAAACAGATCTTCATTTCTGAAATTTATCTCTAGGGTTGTCTTCTTCTCTGAACCAAAAGTTCCATGTCAGGTTCCTGTGGAGAGAAACAGCTCAAATTAAAACATGGAGGAGCTGCCTTTTTGATGAATTGCTTGCGGTGCTGAGCATAGAAAGCAGTATATTTCCACCCCAGGGCTCTTCCACCCAGATGCTGGTGGTCTTCTGCAGGTCCTCTCAATACCTCTGCTGATTTGGATCTAATCTCATGGCCTCTGACTGTCTGAAGTTTTTCTCCAACCTCAAAAATATTAATAAACTGTGAAGGAAATCAGGACTTTTGTATATCTATTAGTGAGGTCTTTGCCATCATTTCTCCACATATCAATTGTTCATCCAGACACAGATTTTCTGGATGGGAGAAATCACTGGGACGATAGGAGCATACTATCTAATGGGTCTAGCTTCGGGATTAGTTGACATTTATAAGATCACCTTCAGATATAATTCTTTGAGAAAATGATTTTAAAGCAAAATTCGATATCTGTAAAATGAACACTTGCCAATGCTTGAGAGCAAGAAGGATTTGTAAGCCAAATATAATGCTGTAAGAAATTGATATAAATTGATTTTTATTTAGTGTAAAAAAGTCAGAGTACATTGTAGAAAATGCATTTATGTTAAAATAAGGAAATAATAATAATAATCCTGACACTGTACAATCTTGGTCCCTTGACCACATGACCAAGTGGCATCATGGCATCAGGCCTTACTGAAGTCAAGTCTTCTTACTTTTTCTTCCCGAAATAAGTCTGACTTTCAAAATTTGTTAATGAATCTGATGTTATATTTTTTACTTACTGGATGGGCAGTACTCTTTTAGGCCAAGTCAAACCAATTTATTTTTGTGTAAATATCTAAGATCACAAATGCAATTTTGTTTAATTTATGGACAGATTTACTTTGACTTTGGAATTGAGGTGCTATTATAACAAATAGGGACTTACAGAACAACAAAAATTAAATTAAATTGTAAGTAATCACAGGTCTAGGGTAAGGAAATTAAAAGGAACAGAATGTTCACCGAGTTTCAGGGCTGCGTATGCAGGTGCAAGCTGTAGCAAACCTAGCTGTGTCATCGATCCCAGTTAGGGAAGTTGACATACTACCAAATTTTACCTTTACTGTGTAATTTATAAACAAATTTGTTGACATGCAAATTATAACTTGTCCTGAAAATGTCTTTCACTAATTAAAGCTTGCAGAAGCCTGGGAAGGGCTGAATAATTAATACAATGCTGGCATGTTTTTTAGTCAAGTAAAGTATTACCAAATTAGATGTCAAGATTAAGGAAAATGAACTACTTAAAAACACATTTTAGTTTTTTAACTCTCTTTACTTTTGAAATATATTCTGAGGAACCTTCTGCCAGGAGGAGAATATGAACTCTTAAGTACCGAGAATCTGCTAGATGCCACGTCATATGCAAGCGGTTCCCGTCTTGTTTCCCCTCAGCTCTGTGTTGCCCACAGCAGCTCCATCCTTAGCCCAGCCAGCCAGAGTGTTCAGACTAACTTGGCCACGATTCATCTGCCATCACGTTGGTTACATAATGGCAGGGTACGGTGAAAAGAACATAGGATCTAGAGTGAGATAAGCCTGGGCTCAAATTCTCATATCTTCATGTATTAGCTTTGTAACATTGGAGTGATTACTTTCTGAACTCTCTGAACATGTGCTGATTCATCTATAAGTCATTATAGGCATCATATAGGTTGAATAAGAGAATCTAATCAAACACCATAGTGACTACTCCAAAAACTATCTCTCCATTTTGTTTAGTTTGGGCCATGTATCTATTAAACAGGTAACAAAATTACGCACTTAGTAATGAATAGGGAGAATGACGATGAGTAGAACATTGCATTAGAAAGAAAGTCTGCCACATGTAGGGATCTTTAGCTTTGAAAACTGAGTAGATGTATCCATTTTATTCTAGAAAATGACATAATTGCTAATGATATTATGGTATAAAATATGAAGCTTTTAGCAAGTAATAATAATGATAAAACTTTCAAACAACTGTCACTATCTGACTCATTTTCATTTGCAGATTGAAGAGGTTTTATTAGGTATGCGATGAAAGAGATTTCTGCCTGTTGGATGGGATTGGCTAAGCACCACTAAGTAATAATTATTATAATAATGGTAGCTAAGCACCAGTTCAAATATATTTTGTTTAACTTTGTATTCCACAGCATCTGGAAGTTCCTGCTATGTAGTAGACATTAAACACATATTGTTGATTTAAATTCATGGACTTCTCGTTTATCACCATTAGCACAGCTCTCATGATCCACCCTCTTCCCACGCCAAGAAAATACATGTACACCTATAGGCCTGAGGTTCTCCTAGAGAAAAAGGGTTTAAGTTTGTCAATGTAGACATTTTTTTTTTTTAACTATAAGGAAGTTTTTAGTGTTATCCTGTATTAGGAGGAAAAATATTTTGTCCTAAAAGTGTAAGACTATTTTTGTGTATGTATGTATGTATGTGTGTGTATGTATGTATGTATGTATGTATGTGTTTGTATTTGTTTTTGTACATATGTACGTGTGTGTGTGTGTGTGTGTGTATTTGCAAGGCATATAATCAAATTTTCTCTGATGGAAAGAATATTAAACTTTAATGTAATAGATGGAGCCATTTTATCTTTATAGTGATAAAGAACATGCAATTGTAAATATTTTGAGGAACACATGTTACACCCTAATCACCTTTAATCTAGGGAAAAAGGGCTGGAAAAAGGCTGGCAGGAGGTGAGCCAGGGCTGTCCTCAGAATGAATAATCCATTTGCAAACAACCTACATGATTTCAGTACAGTCAGTACATTCTCAAATGGCCAAAATATTTATTATTTTAATATGTTAATGTGAATTATTTGATGTCTTGTAGGCAACGATGTTTCCATTCCTTTCTGCTTAATGTTAGAGGAGTACTATCTTCATAATCATAGACACAATTGATGCAGCACAGCAAAGAGATCCCTTTGTAGTTTGTGGAAATCAGTCATGATGTTAATGTGCTCATACAACAAATGAAAACATTGATTGATCTGAATCATTGATTAATATCACTACCTGTAGTGATATTAAGCAGGCACAATCATACAACAGTATTTTTATGAATATCAGTGTGCTTTTAAATATTAATGATTATCAACAAAGACAGAAGTACATAGCAGACAAATTCTAAATGGATCCAAAGTGATACTATAAGTTGCAGAATTATGTTTGAATGTCCAACAAGACTTTTTATAGGGTTTATAGGTTCCAAAACCAGATAATTAATCCAGTCAGAAGCAAAATGATTTGGAGGCTGAAGGAGAATGAAAACCATTACTCCAGAGCAAATGGTAGACAAGATGGCATACAGAACAGGCTGAGAAATGGCAGAGCATGTTTGAGAGGTGGGGTTAGGTCATGAATTAGTCCTGTAGATACCCTATGTGGTTAGTTGCAAGGGGGCTATCAAATGGCAGGTATCACAGCCATGTTTATGCCTAAAGGTCACAACTGTGGTAGATGTTTTTGCTTTTGTTTGCTTTTATTTGTTTATTTATTTATTTTTACTCATTTTATTCATTGTGACTTGACGGGGAGCAATGTTTGTGCTATATGATTCTGAGAGCTACTATTTGGGTATTCTAAGATATTTCTTCCTGTTCATTTTTTTTTTTTTCGTTTATGGACAAAACTTAGGCAGTATGAGAGTGTATAACTTTAGATGGGCTGGTAGCTGGAAGCAGCTGAGAATTTGGATTCTTTTCATTCTTTCCCCACATTTCAATGTATCCAAGAGATGTGCTATGCAGACTGCATATAGATCTTTTCATTTCACCAAATTATATAACTTTCTGTACTAATCTCAGTAAAGATTAACAAATGGAGTCAGCTGGTAAATCTTTAGCTAAAATAATTGATCCTTAATACTTCTTTAACTTTGGGCTTTTACAAGATGTGTAAGGTGGGATACATTTAAATTGCAAAATATTATGTGCTAAAATGGCAGGTATTGTATGAAGTTTTGCTCTTTGTAATTTCCACTTTAAGTATATACTCAAGAAAAAAAAGTAATCCAGTAGATGTCTAGGTTTTGAGCTATTATTCTAGATTTAATTGTACATAAATACTGACTACAATTCCAAAGAAACACTTTTAAGTGGGTTTTTACCTATATCATGGGATAATTTTTGTACATCTTTGATTTTTTTCTCTTTGTTTTTTAGTAGCGGGGTCTCACTTTGTCACCCAGGCTGGAGTGCAGTGGCACAATCTCGGCTCACTGCAGCCTTGACCTCTGGAGCCTAAGCAATCCTCCCACCTCAGCCTCTAGAGTAGCTGAGACTAAAGGTACACACTACCACGCCTGGCTAATTTTTATATTTTTTGTAGAGACGGGTCTTGCCATGTTGCCCAGGCTGGTCTCAAACTCCTGGACTCAAGATATCTTTTCACATCAGCCTCCCAAAGTGCTGGAATTAAAGGCATGAGCCACTGTGCCCAGCCTGATTTTTTTCTTCGTTTTTATAAGTTACCCTTAATCATTACAATTATTTTAAATAACTAAACAAACAACAAATAGCTACTCTGATTGAAATGACAAAACTGAGATATTGCCACATCTTCCAAAGACTACTAATGTACTATTACACATTTCATATCTAAAAGGAATTTTTCCTATTAGAGGAAATGAATCTCTTTTTAATATCAAGCAACCTGGAAACAGTGACATCTATAGTGGGTGGGGCATGAGGAAACCTGAAGCTCCATTTTAGGGAAAAGATAATCAAAAGAGTATGGAAAAAAAATAGGCTGCATAACTTGGAGTCAACTTTTCCTTCAGAGGAAAAAGGGTGGTTGAGGATGAACAGTCAAGGATGGTTTAATAGAGAGGCTGGGACTTTAAGTTAGCCTCAGTAAATGGGTAGAATTTGGGTAAAGAAGAAGGAAGGAAGGAAGGAAGGAAGGAGGAAGGAAGGAAAGAAGGAGGGAAGGAAGGAAGGAAGGAGGGAAGGAAGGAAGGAAAGAAGGAATGAAGGAAAACAGAAGAAGACAGAAGGAAGGAAGGAAGGAAATAAAAGAAAAGAAGAAGAAGAAAAAGGAGGAGGAGGAAGGAAGGAAGGAAGGAGAAATAGATATTAATTTCTTACATGTCACTGAATGGCTCCCCTTCTCCCATGAAGGATAGCTGTTTAAATGGATTGAATCCCAAAACTATGGTACTGAATCATTATTGAGATTTAATTTTGCAGTGTCCCAAATATATCAATTATGTTGGGATTATCACAGTCATTTTTGCTAAAACTAAAAATGGAATCATAAATCTCTCTGAATTCTAATGATTTTCTTCGGATTAATGTACTAGGAATCCTGTGTAGCTGATGTGCTCACCTATAGAATTAATTGAAGCAAGAAAAAGTAGGAAGAATAACTTCTTGCATTTTTTATTATAGATATAATTTCAATAAGTCACTGATGCAAGAGAGGGGAAAGCCGCGGTGAAATCACCAACTGTCAATTACATTAAAACCCATGAGTTTTCAACATATGGATTAAAGCATCTTGCAATCTCCCTTAGGGAATTTGTTCTTGGAAAATCCCCATGGTTTAAATTTCTACTGCACATGACATTCTGTGGATGGGGGAAGGGGTCTGAGCTAGACTGTGCAGTAAAAGCATGTGCTTTTGGTTTTGCAATGTGTCCTCTTGTGGTCCTTCTCTAATAGTGCTTCTACCTACTCCGTCAACAATCCAGAGGACACCTTCTTTTCCTTTAGCTTTCTGCTCTTACAATAAAAGTTTAATTAAGAATGAACTATGTTAATTAACAAGGCATTGTAATTCAATACTATCTCCCCTCCTCTGAGAATTTTAAAAATAATTCAGAGAGCGTTCTTTTCAGGCATCTGTTATATCCTGTATATTGTCTAGGTAGCCAGTATACAATGATAAGCTGCTGTTATTTCTCATGAAGAATCTAAAACCCGGAGTACCTTCAATGTAAATAATAAATCACTATTTTGAAGAATTGTGTACATTTGGGAAGCTGTCTTAGTGCTTTTGAAATGACTTCAGTATGTCAGTTGGTCTGGGGATTGAATGAGGCTAGTCTTCAATCTACCACCTTGAGGGCCTGGTGATAGACTGAAGGGGAAAAGCAGAGTCTGAAGATAGATTTAACAATAATTGCAGAGATGTCATTGATATTTATGTTGTGAATGAATAGCAAGGCACGGTGAGAACCTCGAGATTGAAGAAGTAAAATTGATACCCAGGGAGGAGATCACATACCTACCAAAAGGAAAAGGTGAAACAAGAAGTGGTTTCCCAATGCTAAGGCAAAAAATAGCAGTGTGAGGTTATTGTCTAACAATGACAAAATATGGATAACAAAGGAAAGGGGTGGTTGGCTTAAACATAGAAAAATGCAGCCTCAATATTGGAAGTGTTTATCCAAAACTGTTAGAACTCCATAAATAAGAACAAAAGTGAAGATATTCTAACTTGGTGAAAGCAACTCAGCGACATTCATTTCCTCCAGCTTAATCTTTGTACATATCTCATTCTCAGAATATATTTCAATATTTTTTAGCTGTTTGCTATTATCTAGAGAGAATGTGCTGAGATACAAACACAATCCACTGTGCTGGATAATTATATGTTTCACTAAAACACATCTACGAATTTTCTAGTTTTTATGTGTGGCTTTTATGAGTTTTGTTAGTGTGAGTCTTCCCTACACAACTTCACGACTGAGAGGAACATTTAAGGTTCCCAGAGCCAGAGTCAAGAACGAGAAAACCATATCAAACCAGTGTCAACCAGCAAGACCCTGCTAGACAGTCCGTCCAAATTTTCTTTTCTTTTCTTCTTTTTTTTTTTGAGACGGTGTCTCACTCTGTCACCCAGGCTGGAGTGCAGTGACACGATCTCGGCTCACTGCAACCTCCACCTCCCAGGTTCAAGTGATTCTGCTGCCTCAGCCTCCCGAGTAGCTGGGACTACAGCCACCCTCCGCCACGCCTGTCTAATTTTTGTATTTTTAGTAGAGATGGGGTTTCACTATGTTGGCCAGGATGGTCTCGATCTCGTGACCTCGTGATCTGCCTGCCTTGGTCTCCCAAAGTGCTGGGATTACAAGCGTGAGCCACCGCACCTGGCCCCAAACTTTCAAAACATGGCAATCACCCACTCATGTAAACAAATGGTATATCACTTTTTTCAAATAAAGTGGTTACTTGGTAGAAAAGGCAAAATAGCAATGTATAACAAAATCTCTATTCTTACATAAAATCCATGGACTTGGGTTACACCAATTTGGAGAACTCTTCGTTAAAGAGGGAAATCTGGAGTAGTAAAAGAGATGGAGAAAGTGAGTGAATGTTCCCATTGAAGCCAGTCAACTGGCACCGTAGCCGTTTGTGGTGACAAGATGGGACCTAAACCATCTGCTACTCATCTTATTCAGCTAAAAACAAACCAAACCAAAACAAAACAAAACCAAAAATTTCTAAAGAGCTCTGATATTTCTTGAGTTGTGTTTTTGATAATGACTTGTTGTTCAATCTAGAGAAAATGAAAAGAACATTGCCACTCTTAAATTATTTCTAAACAACAACAAAAAAAACACAAGTAAAGTTAAGAAGACAGAACATGGTTGTAAGTTTTAAATATCCTAGTTAGAGATTGCTAGATTTCCCCTCATCTTAAAAATTATGAGCATCGACCTTCATTTATTTTGTTTTGATCAGGAGTATGGGATGAGAGATGCATCTAGATAATTGGGGCATTATCACATATCCAGGCACTGTAATTTCAAATGGCTTGAAAGGGGAGGCCAGGAAGCACATCTAAAGAAGCCAATGTTACAACACAAAGAACTCATACTCTTGGATTTTAAAGTAGAATTTAAAAAAAATTCAAGGTTCATAACCAGAGATGAAAATGAGATTATAGAATATGCCTAAAATAATTATTTCCAGAAATCTAAATTTTAAATAACGAGGATTTGGAAAATTTCAAAGAAAATGAGAAATGACTGATTTTCAAAGAAAAAAAAACAACTAAGGCAAGATCATGAAGCTTCAGCAAGAGGATCTGAGAAAAAAATGACTCAATTCTATTTTTGCTTCTGTCTTCTGTGACAAGAGAAACAATTTTCAGGAGAAAAATTGTAAAGTAAATTTCCTATTAAAGAGTTGCCACTCAAGATAGATGAGATAATTCTAAAAAAACACCCAGATGCTCTAAATGAGTACGAGTCTGCAGTATTTTTTTAAACCTGTCTAGAATCTATTTACTCCTCTTTTCCAAAAATAGGCTTTACTCATTTTTACCCAGAGATGGGCAGATGAATCAGAAAGAGCCAATCATAGAATTCCATCTTTCTTAACATGATGTGTTATAATCCCAACCTAGCCAAATGTTTTTCTTTCCCAGGAAGCTGGAAGGATGGATTTTCTTTTGTCTATTGAGTCAAGAAACTGAGCTGGTGATCATGAAGATAACACCTATATATAATGAAAGAGTAAAAGGCAAGCAGAATCAGAGTCAGTCCTAATGTTCACTGGGTTCCCAATTCCAGCCCTTTGGTTCTTGAGAGTCGTCCTTCCTTCAATTCAGTGAATCTCAATATTAATAAATTCTGCATCCTTTACCCGTGTATTTTTAGGCAAGTGTGAGCTAAGTTCCTATCACTTGAAACCAAAAGAATTTTTAAAAATACAAAACAAAAACAAACAAGAAAAACAATCTTTACTATTCTGAGTCTTAACCTTGATTAAGGCAAACAAACCTTGTACATGAGGCTGCTGAATGACTGTGAGTTGTCCTTGAAAATTTGGGGGCAACTGAAGCGATGAAGGAGGAGCTGAAAGGGCCTCAGGTGTTTCTACATGATATATATAAAGGGCTCAGGTGTTTCTATATGACATATATAAAGGGCTCAGGTGTTTCTATATGATATATATAAAGGGCTCAGGTGTTTCTATATGACATATATAAAGGGCTCAGGTGTTTCTATATGATGTCTATAAAGGGCCTCAGGTGTTTATATATGATATATATAAAGGGCTCAGGTGTTTTGACTTATTTCTGGTCACCATGGAAAAAGCAGGATGTCCCTATATGCCCCGCAGGCAGGTAGCCCGCAATAGATTATCACTGGGAAAACTCTCCCTACATCAAGTCTACTCTCATCCAAGTACCCAGTCAGAGAAAATGTGAATATATGTGTGTGTGTATATATAAGTGCATATATATAGTATATATGCCATATATAATATATATATATTATAATATATTATATACATTATATTGTATATATACTATATATGGTATATATAGTATACATAATATAAAATGTATATTGTAATATACATTATATATATACATAGTGTACATTATATAATATAATATAATGTATATTATAATATACATTATAATATAATAGTGTACTATGTATATAGTATATATAATGTATATTATAATGTATTATATAGTATAATATAATATAATATACATTATATAGTATTGCATTATATATGCTATATAATATATAATATATTATGTATATATACATTATATATACTATATTATATAGTACATATAATGTATATTATATAGTATATATAATATAATACATTATACATACAATATATAATGTATATTATATAGTATGTATAATGTAATACATTATACATAGTACATAAAGTATATTATAATATATTATAATATATAATATACATTATATATTATAATGTATATAATATATTGTATATATACTATATATAATGTATATACAATTATATATAATTGTATATATACATGTATATGTATATGTATATATACATGTATATGTATGTGTATATATACATATATGTATATGTATGTGTATATATGTATATGTATATATGTATATGTATACGTATATATGTATATACAATGTATATATAATGTATATAAAAATATATAATATATACAATATGTATATAATGTATATAATTATATAATATATAATATACATTATAATATATAATATACATTATATATATAAACATTTTATTTTTTAAAACTTTTAAAAGAGCCATTTATGGCTAGAAAACTGAAGCTTAGCTTTCCCTAAAATCTCTATACAATAAAAACATCATCCAAAAAGACACACATTCACCAAGCGTTCAGCACACTGGTGTTTGACTTACATAACTCTAAAGAAATAACTTGTTACTTTCTTTTTTTCTTGTTTCTTTTTCTTTTTTTTTTTTTTTTTTGAGACAAGAGTTTCCCTCTTGTTGCCCAGGCTGGAGTGCAGTGTTGCAGATCTTGGCTCACTGCAACCTCTGCCTCCCAGGTTCAAGTGATTCCCCTGCCTCAGCCTCCCAAGTAGCTGGGATTATAGGTGCGTTCCACCACGCCTGGCTAATTGTTGTATTTTTTGTAGAGATGGGGTTTCTCCATGTTCATCAGGCTGGTCTCGAACTCCACTCCTGACCTCAGGTGATCTGCCCGCCTTGGCCTCCCAAAGTGCTGGGATTATAGGCGTGAGCCACCGCGCCTGTCTCTTCAATTTTTATTTTAAGTTCAGGGGTACATGTGCAGGATGTGCAGGTTTGTTCCACAGGTAAACGTGTGACATGGTGGTTTGCTGCACACATCATCCCATCACCTAGGTATTAAGCCCAGCATCCCTTAGCTATCCTTCCTGATGCTCTCCCTCCCCCCACCCTACCCCACCCCCTCCAATAGCACCGGTGTGTGTTGTTGCCCACCATATGTTTTCACTAAAGAAAACTCACCTCTCATAGGAGCCTTAGTCAGTGCACTCCAGCCCGTATTCATTAACCGCTTCTGAACAAGGGAGGGGTTTCTTCCTTCCCTCACACTTTCCTTCCCTCCAATTTCCTTCCCAGGAGCTCTCCTCTCCTTTTGACTTTCAAGTCATGGTTATCAGATACTTTGTTTTCATCTACTTCTAACTTAATTTCCTCTTTCTTATATTTCCATAATATTTAGTAGGGGTCTACAGAGTCTTCATCTCCCGGAAGCCAAAGGATTAAGACACTACTTGAGATTTTTAAATAATCCATGAATCTAGGTTGGGGTGGGGGTGCGTATATATTATCTATTATTTATACCTCTATCAGTGACAGCCAGTGCCTCCCAAAAAATCCTACCTTTTCCATCTTACAAACTCTCATTTTTCTCTGCTTTTTTCATGTGCCTTAAATCATAATTTATCTTTATAGCTTATATGTAAATATTCTTAAATAGAAGAAACATGTTACCTACCTATTACAAAATGCATCTCTTTATGAAAACTGAGGCTGGATTTTATGACTCTAATCTCAAGGAAGATGCCAGCTTATGTATTCATATCCTACTGCTACTATAACAAATTATCAAAACTTAATGGCTCAAGCAACACAAATTCATATCTTACAATTCTGGAGGTCAGAGTTCAAAATGGGTTTGTGGACTTTCAGCACCAGAACTGCTCACTCTACCCTTAAGTTACAGTTATACTGTCCCCTAGGTCCCCGCTCCTTCCCCACTGAGAACCTCTTCTGGTCATTGAATGCAGATGAGCCCTGGAGTCTGTCTCTAAGGGAAATACCTTTCTCCCCAATTAGGAGTATTGGCAACAGTCTCAGTCCCCTACAAAGCCTGACTCCAGCAAGTTTAATTTTCAAAAATATGTGTAAAGTTGAGGCCCACCCCCAATTCTAAACTTCCTCCCAAATCCAGCCCTCCTGCCAGATTCTTTAACTGTGAAAATGTTTGTCTTTATCTCTCCAGAAACATCTTCTTAATGCAAAGCATTCAACTTCCAAGGTTCTTCAAGGTTAAAACTGACAATGGGCCCTGCAGATCCCCGATTGTATACATATTACCTACTGATTGGGGTACACTTGCTTTCTATCAGAGATACATAAAATTATTGAGGAGAAAAATACAGAGTATCATGGACTTACTCTAAATAATTTAACTAGGAAACGAAGGAGATGAAAGGAACGTTATGTAAATAGCTGACCACAGATTTAATGAATAGAAAAATTTAAGAAAATAAAACTACAAAAAATTTTCACCAATCCTTTTGGAATATTCTACTCCTTAAGAGTTGTATTTAGTTTTAGTATTAACAATAACAACAACAACCAGGGAGTTCTGTTGGCTATAATCATGCCATGAATTAACTATTTGGTTCCTTCTGCAAAAACTAGTGTAGTTTCCAAAAGACGAGAAAGGTTGGTTTAAATTCTGCAAGTACTCAAAAGCAGATGTTTACTGTAGGATGGAATAAGATTCTCTTACACACACACACACACACACACACACACACACTCACACAAAATGATGAAGGAGCAGTCAAAATTATCACATTCTAGAGGTATTTTAGAGAGATATAAGATGTTACATTTTATCTAACCAGATAAAGATTATCAGAGATAAATGTGAAGTCTATACTTAGACCCAAAATCCCAGCTTTGTGAGTCTTGGTTGAGAAGGTCTGTTTTATGAACACCTATGAAAGTCATTTGTGCCACCAAAGCCCTCCCACCAGGGCCCCGTGGATCTTACAGTCTTAAAATTCTCTGAATCCCATGAGCACCCTCTGTGTACCCAACAGCCACAGGTTATATTCCTGACCCTTCATATGTCTCTTTCCACTGGGTACCACTAATTTTTATCCCCTTTTGATAACAGCATTCTTTTAATATGTCATCAATGGTGAAAGATATGAATCGTTGTCATATCTTATTCAAATAACCTCCTATGCTCTTGTAATCCTAAGAACATTTATCCATATCAGGTATCTCTGGAAGCAGGAAGAATTCACCCCACTAATGCTGATGAGGATCCCTGAAGCTAGGTCTGAGGTCTGGCGGGTCTGAGCATCAGTTTTAAGAAGGTTGACCCTGTTATTTATTGTCACAGCCAGGCAACTTCAGAGAGTAAAAGGACTGACCAGCAGAGGTCAACCCAGCCACTTCCAGGAACACTAAGACCCTAGCACCAAGATCATTACTGGGCAGGAGGCAGCAAGAACTCCAACCTCAAGAGCAGCTTCTGAGCCTACCCTATACTCTCTCATCTCCAGAGAAAGCCCAGGCTCATAGAAGCCACACACACTTGAGCCCTAGGGCTCTCTACTGATTCTGGGTAACCCACTTCAGGAAACAGCCACTTCCAGAGATCCTTTAATGGTTTTATGGAAAAACAAATTCAAAATAAATTAATAGGACTGATATTTATGTGACAAAAGAATTCTTTTTCCTAAGGATTTCTTCCACTCAATTCCCACTTCATACATGAATAACACTTTTTTTGGTGAAAAATTTTCCTCAAAACAATAAGAACAACATCTTTTTATGAACGAATTATTGTATAAAATGAAATATATAGTCAACATACAGATTCTAACAACATAAGAGAATGTATAAGGGTTTGTATCTGAATTGGGGATTCCTATTTATTATTTAAAATAATAGTGAAGAGGTTTTCTTCATGATTACATTTTTTTAAAGTTAAGAACATTTTTATTTTGCTTTCTGCTCAATTCCTTAATTTCATTGTTTGTCACTGTATTTAAATGGGATAGTCTGAAGTAACTTTCAGCCTCTGATCTAGCTGAAATGACATGAAAAGAGATTTCGTGTGAGTTTTTCAGTTAATTCCATATTGATGATTCCAGTTATATAGAATGAACTGAAAAAAAGTGGCAGAATTGTCTTCAGAGTCATTTTTTTTTGTGCTATTTAAGCCCTGGCCAGATTGGATTCAGGCTCAAATTGTTTCCAATATTGCCTTCTGAATTGGATTTCAATTTTCTGGTGTGTGTGAATACACCTGTGTTCACAGAATAGCATGCTTTTTCTTTCTGAAAACTGTCATAATTTAGTGTCTAAAAGGACTTTTTACGGATGGCGTTCAGAAGCACTTATCAATAGACTTAGAAGTATGTGGCTGTCTTAATGGGACTTTCAATGTAGTGGACACATAATAGGGATGATTTGAGAAAAAATAAATCTTCCATTACTCTGAAGATATTTTAGGTTTAAATTAACTTGGGATTTAAAATAAAAGCAAAAATGATCAAAATGCTATAATTTGTATGTAAGTATTTCTAAGACCAGCGTTCAGCCATGGAACAGGGTTAGCCTCATGCACACTCAGAATAAGACAACGTCCAAATGATGGGATTCAGAGTTCTTGAATGCTCCCCAAAGCCACAATACCTTTGTTTCAGTTCAGTTCCTTGTTTCTTTCTGAAATCCTTCCAGACACAAAATTGTTACGAGACAAAAAAAAAAAAAAAAAAAGTGAATTTTATACTGGTAATTCTTGCCTTGTATAATTAGGCAAGAAAAATTAAGAAAATAAAACTACAAAAAATTTTCACCAATCCTTTTGGAATATTCTACTCCTTAAGAGTTGTATTTAGTTTTAGTATTAACAATAACAACAACAACCAGGGAGTTCTGTTGGCTATAATCATGCCATGAATTAACTATTTGGTTCCTTCTGAACCAAGAAAAAGCACATTCACAGTGGATACAAATAGTGATACTGTGATCAACCCAGAGCAGTCACTGATGGTCGTGAAGATGGAGGCAGTCAGCGCCTACTGATTTATGCATTTATATATTTTTCCCATTTTAAAAAAGAGGTGTGAGGACAGTGAGAGAAAGATGTGAAAATCTGCAATAGACCCCACCTCCCAAAAAGGAAAAGAAAATAAATAAACAACTAAACTTCACTCTCAGTATTAAACAATGAACAATACACTTTTCTTTTTTTAAAAATTTTTTTTATTTTGCTAGTTTAAGTGGTTAAAACCAAGGAGATACCAATGCCACCTGGGCAAAAATTAGTGGTCAGGTGTATAGTTTGGATGTCATAGACATCAAACATTTGCCTGGCAGCCCAATGCCTATGATTTTGTTTTGAAGTAGAAATGTAAAAAATACATATTCTACTGACAAAAACATAGGCTCACAAAGTCTTTATAGAGCACGGCCTACCACAATGTACTCATGCTGAAACCAAGTGAGGACCTCCCTGGGTCCATTCCTCTAACACTGTTGTTTTGTTTTTGTTTTTGTTTTTGTTTTTTTCCCCATGTGTAGCCCCTCTTCTGTTGTCTTTGGGACCATTCCTAATTATATGTGTTGATGATATAAGGAAAATTTGTATAGAACTCATAGGCCTTTTATTATATTTTATTATGGTAATACTAGGGATTATAGAACAAAGGTACATGTGTTTAATTAAATGAACAAATGATGTCAAAAATTAAAGCCCAGCTCTGACATTAATAGCTTAATTCCCAGGGTTTCCTTTTCTAGAATTGTTCTATAATTTCACCATTACTCTTCTCTATACCTAGTGTGTCTGTATCCCAAACCCAGTATCACCATGCTCAGAGTGAACACAGGCAACATAAAAGATGAGGGTCTGATATTGGTTAAGAACAAGATGAAGAAAGAAAAAGAAGGAGGAGAAAAAGGAGAAGAAGGAGGAGGAAGAGGTGGAGGAGAAGTGTTAATAAACTCTCTTAAGAAAAAATAATTGATCTGCAGCAAAGTTTTTTTAGTCTAAAATCATAAGATGAATAGGGTCACATTGCTCTGCGGGCATGGCTATGGAAAAACGTTATGCATGAGATATAATCAAAATAGGAAATTCAATTTTATTGGACAATTCAAATTAAAGTAAGGGCAGTTGTGTATTTATGGTAAAGTAGATCTTAACATTACCAGTGTCAAAGAATGCCTGTATTCACATGAGAAAAATGCTGAAATATAATAATTTTCCAAAGAAAAAGCATATTTTTTCAAGATATTTTATATTAAAATTTATTTTTCTTAAGAAAAAAGAAACAAAAGAAGGCACTGATGGGTTATTAAGATGGAGTAAGCCCTCCCATGCCATAATGAGCTTCTTTTCACTAAATGCATTCAATAATCAGGATTCAGGGACATAGATGAACACGTAAGTTTCCAAAATTCCACAAAATAATTTTATTTTAGATAAAGTGATAAAAGCAACTGGTTTGTGTAAACATAAATAAAAGCAAATATATTTTTGAGTAGGTAATAGTGATAAATCTAAATCCTGATTGACATAATAAAAATGTATTTATCTAATAATGTATAATTTAATATTTTATGTAATATAGTTGTTCTTTATAACAACCGTCTTAAATATTATTATCTAAATTTTAATTACATGTATTTCTTGTTTATGATTGGGAGTTTTAAGAATGTAACTAAGCAAAACTATAATAGCTTTATTTTTAGATTAAGTAATTCCAATACACAACTTAATCTAAAATGTCACAAGTAATAAATAGTGGGATTAAGTTTTGAACCCAAGTATTTTATTTACAAATCAGTGCTCCTCTTCTGAGGAAGAATGTTAGAAGACATTTTATTTCTTAATTTAAACACTTATAACATTCTTTTGTAAATATTTTATTATCAGTCTTGGCTACTAAGCTGTAGCTTTACTATGGCTGTGTGATACAGAAAAAAAAAGAGTACTTTTTCCTACTCTCTTCTCTCAAAACAGCACAATACTTCTGATACCAGATTGTAGGGATTTCTCCCTACATGCCTAGCAGTTAATTCTAATTCAATTTAATTCCGACACTGTCTACCTAGATATAGTGTCAGATTCCCATAAGTCGGGGGCTCAGTCCCACAAGACTGTCCCCACTGAATGTCCCCCTGAAGATTGGGGTTGCAAGCCTAGGTTATGGCTTATGCTTCTGACTAACTAGTTATAAATTAGGGTTCCCACAATCCCCTAATCAGGTTTTTAAAATTTGCTTGAGTAGCTTGCAGAGCTCAAGATAAAACTTACATTTACCAATTTATTATAAAGGATGTTACAAATGACACGGATGAACAGCCAGATGGAAGAAATGCACAAGGTGAAGCATGGGGGAAGGGTGTTGATTTTCCATACCCTCCCCAGGATCATCACCATCCAGGAACCTCCATGTTTCCTGAAACTGAGCACCTCTGGAACCCAGTTGGGTTTTATGAAGGCTCCAATATGTAGGCGTGACTGATTAAATTATTGGCCATGAGCGACCAACTTCATCTCAACCTCTCTCCCCTCCCTGGAGTTTGAAGGTGGGACTGAAAGTCTCAAGCCTTGTTTCTTCCAGTGACCAGTGCTTATCCTGAAGCTAGAGAGGGGCCCCAGCCACCAGTCATTTAATTAGCTTATAAAAGAAACTCATCTCTCTGGCGATCCAAAGGTCTTGTGAGCTATATGTCAAGAAAGGGGTCAAAGATCCAACATATACTTAATGCCAAAAAGGCAAAGATGTGTTGTTTACCTCTGTAATCTTAGCTTCTATCAGAATGCACATATTAGATACTTCCTAAATTTAGGGTTAATCTGATTATGTCTTCTACCCTGGCTTCAGCTAGCAGATGTGAGTTACATTGTGCTGGGAAGACAACTATATGTTAATTGATTGGGTCAATGGTTTGATATTACAAAGCAGACTGTTTCTTTTGAATCTGGAAAAATTTGCTTGGAGGAAAAATAATTATCTATATGTCTGGATTCCTCATGTGTATGCTAGCACACATGGCTTCAGACAATACCCTCAAAATAGCAAAACTTGTCTTTGGGGTTGTTTATATCAACCTAAAATAATCGAAGGGATCAGAATCCAGTTTTTAAAAGCTTGTTCAAGCAAAAAGCTGGGTGGAAATGGTCATCTGGGAAACACAAACTCCAGAGAAATGGGGTCAGTGCTCCAAAGTTAAAAGTTAAGGTCTTGCTTATATATAGGAAGAAAACCAAGAAATTTAACAGGATTACAACATTTTCCATATAATTCTGATTTATGAGTTATAATAATTTAATTAGTTACAGTTTGTTTTTCATACAACTTTCCTTTCCAATTTAAAAATGTAATATTTATCATTTCATCTTAGAAAATGTGGTAGACATAAAGCCGTTTTGTAAGAGGTAGAAGGGAAGTTAATATATAATGAAGATCAATAGTGGGAGGGAAGGAGTCTTCCCTAGAACCCTTTAGTCATTTATCACATTTTATAAAGCAATGTAGATGAGGAAGAAGGCTAATCTATAAGCAGAGAAACAAAGATTACAGCTGCCTAGGTTACAGCTGCCTATCACATGACGTAGGCCCTATAATCACACTCCTTTAAGGCTCAAAATAATTTAAAGTTCCAACCGCTTAGATTTTGAATTAGTAATTTTCACACTTATACTATTTATCATTCTTTGTCACATTACATTGTAAAATCTCCTTTCAAAAGAAAAAATAAAAAGAAGAAAGAAAAAATTTGTCAGGAACCATTTATACCTTAGAAAATGTATGTCACCTTGTTCCCACTCTTAGGCTTATGTGCTCTTCAAGCTTTATAATTAACCATAGTATGTTCAGCCATTAGGTCCCATGAAAAAATTAAATATGAAGTATTTGAGAGTAGGCAGAGGACTATTATTTTGAGAAGATACGTTTTGTATTTTAAATCAAAAAGTATCTGAAACGGGTCTCAATCAAGTTAAAAGTTTATTTTGCCAAGGTTAAGGATAATGACCTGTAACACAGCCTCAGGAGGTCCTGAGAACTTGTGCCCAAGGTGGTTGGTTACAGCTTGGATTTATACATTTTAGAGAGACAAACATTACAGCCAAAGACATAAATTGATACATGTCAGGTATACATTTGTTTGACTTGAAAAAGTGGGATATCTCGAAGGCGGGGCTTACTGGTCATAGGTGGATTTAAACATTCGTGACTGGCAGTTGGTTGAAAGGTTTAAGCTCTGCCTGAAGAGTTGAAATCAGCTTGAGTTACAGTAAGAGGAGGGTTGTGGAAGCCAAGGCTTTTGTCTTGTAGATGAAGCCTTCAGGTAGCTGGCTTCAGAGAGAAAAGATGTGAATGTCTCTTATCAAAGGTGTCAGACTCTCTGGAGAGACCTAGTGAGGGAAGGTGATTCTCCACAGAATACAAACTGTTTTCATAAGAGACAGCTTTGCAGGGCCACTTCAAACTATGTCCAGAGAAATACATTTTGGGGTAAAAATACGTTGATTTCCTTTCAGGGCCCCTTATCTTTCATGTGATGTTATACCAGAGTCAGGTTGGAGTTGGTAACTTACTGCTACAAAGAGTCTGTCCTGTCAGTCTTAGGATCTCCATATTAATATTAGTGCTGGTTTGAACTCCAAAGGAGGAGAGTATGATGAGGCTTGTCTGACCATTCCCTCTTCCCATGTTGGCCTGAACTAGTTTTTCAGGTTTGCCTGAGTCCCTTTGGCAAGGGAAGGGTCCCATACAGTCTTTTGTGGGGGTGGGCAGAGCTTAGGATTTTATTTTTGATTTACAGTATCTATGTAATTTGAATCTAAGAATAAAATCTGGCCAGGCACAGTGGCTCATGCCTGTAATCCCAGCACTTTTGGAGGCCGAGGCGGGCGGATCACAAGGTCAGGAGATGGAGACCATCCTGGCTAACACGGTGAAACGCCATCTCTACTAAAAATACAAAAAATTTGCGGGGTGTGGTGGCGGGCGCCTGTAGTCCCAGCTACTCAGGAGGCTGAGGCAGGAGAATGGCATGAACCCGGGAGGCGGAGCTTGCAGTGAGCCGAGATGGCGCCACTGCACTCCAGCCTGGGCGACAGAGTGAGACTCTGTCTCAAAAAAAAAAAAAAAAAAAAAAAACAAAAAAAAAAAACCTAAGAAATCTGACTTTATTACCCATGCATTTGGTTACCACACGGCATTGCTATAGAACAGCAGTTTTCCAATGTTGATCTGCAGGTCACTGGAAGACCTGAGTTCCACTCAGCATGTCCAAGAAGTCAAAAATATTTTCTAATAACTTGAATATAAAATGTGACTTTTTCACTGTGGTGACATTTGTACTGATGGGGCCAAATCAGTAGTGGGTAAAACTGCAGAGGCCTTAGAACAAATCAAGACTGGTGGCACGGAAATGCACTGGGAGTCATTGCAATCTCAGCTACCATGTCCTCACAGAAAGGGAGAAAAATATGTTTCACTTAAGAAGATACTTTATGTAAACATTATTAATTTTATTAAATTTTGAACCTGAACAGCTCATCTTTTTTACCATTTGTTTACCAAACTGGGAGTATTCAAAAAACACTTCTGCAGCATTCTAAAGTGTACTGATAGACTCAAGCAAAAATAATCACGCAAATGTTTGAGTTGTGATCCACAAAGTCAATCCAAGTCTAATTGAAATCTCATCAGGTTTTTAGATGGAGATTTTAAACGACTTTGCTAAAATGTATGTGAAAATAAAACATGCTAAAGATACCCAAGACAATATTGAGAAAAAAAATAACAGTGTGGAAGGATTCGAACCACCAAATTTTAAGGATTGTTACAAAGCCCCCCTAATTAAGATAGTGTAATATTGGTTCTTGAAGAGTGTATTAGTCTACATGAGATGCTGTATTAGTCAGAGTTTTCTAGAAGGACAGAACCAATAGAAGATATATATATACACACACACACACACACATATATGAGTTTATATATATATAAAATCTAAGAAATCTGACTTTATTGCCTATATATATATATATATATATATATATATATGAGTTTATTAAGTATTAACTCACATGATCACAAGATCCCACAATAGGCTGTCTGCAAGCTGAGGAGCAAAGAGAGCCAGTCCAAATCCCAAAACTGAAGAACTTGGAGTCCGATGTTTGAGGACAGGAAGCATCCAGCACCAGAGAAAAATGTGGGTTGGGAGGCTGGGTCAGTCCAGTCTTTTCACGTTTTTTTGTCTACTTTATAGTCTAGCTGCACTAGCAGCTGATTAGGTGATGCCCACCCAGTTCGAGGGTGGGTCAGCCTTTTCCAGCCCACTGACTCAAATGTTAATCTCCTTTAACAACACCCTCACAGACACACCCAGGATCAATACTTTGCATTTTTCAATCCAATCAAGTTGACACTCAGTATTAACCATCACAGATCCCATAATAAAATGTGATAGATTCAGTGGCTGAAACATAGAAAAAAGTGTTTCTTGCCATTCTGGAGGCTGAGAAGTCCGAGATGAAGGTGCCAGTAGGTTCAGTCCCTCTTTCTGGCTTACAGAAGGCTGCCTTCTCTCTGTGTTCTCGCATGACATACATAAAGGGAGTGAGAGAGGAAGAGACAGAGAGATCAATTTATTTTTCTTATAAACCTAGCAATTCTATCAGATTAGAGCCCCACCCTTATAACCCCACTTAATCTTAATACGCCCTCCTAAAAGCCCTGTCTTCAAATACAGTCATATTTTGGGTTAGGGCTTCACTGCATGAATTTAGGGATGGGGGCAGGGGTGAGGGCACAAGGCAAGTGTAATCATAGTTAGGGAGGGAGGGGGTATAACCAGGTGCACCTGACTTGCCATCTTGTTATGGCTGGGAGCTCAGTTTTCAAGGTTACTCTAGGGTCCCTTTGACAAAGAGGGGGTCCATTCTGTCAGTTGGAGATTTTATTTTTATTTCTCACTCTTACCACGCACAAGATTAAAATATAGTGGATTGTACATTCAAATGTGAAAAAGTAAAACAATATAGCTTCTAGAAGTTAATATCAGAGAATATTTTCATGACATTAGGGTGGGCAAATATTTATTACACAGGACACTGAAAAAGCAGTAAACGTTAAGGAAAGATAAATCCTTTGAATTAAATTAAAATTAAATGTGTATTTATTTATTTTTTCAAAGGACATCATTAGCAGAGTAAAATGCTAGCCAAAGACTAGATTTACATATCTAACAAAAGACTTATATCTAGATTATAAGAATAATGCCATAAATCAGTCAACCTAATAGAATTGGAAGAAAAGTTGGCAAGTGTTTCATGAAAACTAGCTGCATTTCATGGAAGGAAACAGGAAAATAGGAAAGAAGGTAAGAAGAAAGGAGAAAAGCAAAGAAAGAAAATCTGAAAATAAAGCACTGCAAAATTTAAAATGAGTGACACTCAGGCTGGCTACAGCTATAATGATGGGGAATATCATATATTGATAAGAATGTGAAACCACTGGAATTCTACAAACTAGAGGTGGGAGAGAAACTGTGTATAAACAGTTAAGAACTGTATTTCCTAGTATTGACAGAAGCAGAACATACACTTATTCTACAAAATGTGTATATATATCTGTCTCCAAATATATGTTACTGAATGCTCCTGTTATTATATTGCTCCTACTATCTTGTTCATATAGCCCAGCACTGGAAACAGCTCGCATGTTGATCAACCTTTGAATGAATATTTTCTGATGTACTCATTGCTTGTATTCTTGTACAGTAATGACAGTGAAGGGAGCATGGCATATGTTAGTAAACCATAGGAATGAATCTCCTAAACCACCATGTTGAGCAAAGGAAGTCAGACACAAAAGTGTACATACTGAATGAGTTCATTTCATGAAGTTAATCTGTATTTTTAGAAATCATTCATTAATTTTGAAAACAGTAATGACCAGGAGGACCTCATATAACACTTCTGCCTAACTGATAACGTTATTTACATGGGTGGTAATCATGCAACTGAAAATTTATTAAGCTATACATATGATTTATGGACTTTTTGTTTGGATATTTTACTTCAATAAAAATGGTCACTGGGACCGAGCACGGTGGCTCATGCCTGTAATCCCACAACTTTGGAAGGCCGAGGCGGGTAGATTGCTTGATCTCAGGAGTTGGACACCAGCCTGGGCAACATGGTAAAACCCTGTCTCTATTAAAAATACAAAAATTAGCCAGTGTGGTGGTACATACCTGTAATCCCAGCGAATTCCAAGGCTGAGGTGGGGGGATCACCCGAGCCCAGGAGGTCGAGGCTGCAGTGAGCTGAGATCGCACCACTGCATTTCGTCCTGGGTGACAAAGTGAGACTCTGTCTCAAAAAAACAACAAATATTTACTGGGGAAAATGATAAAAGAAAACAGCAAACTACTTCTGGTCAGATTCTTAAAGGCAATGATCTGGAACTTGTTTTGTACAGGTATTGCCAGAGGGAGCTACCATTTGGCTTTTTTTCCTTGACACCGCTCTGCCTAAGTTTAGACTCTTGTCATTGGCCATGCTAGAAAAACTCCTCCTTCTCCTTCCTGCCTATATTCCACAAGCCATCATCTTCTTCCCAAATTATGTTTCCTCAAGTTTGTCTCTCCTTTGTTTAAACAACACTGGGTTCCCATTACTCTACAGGATAAAGGACGAGACTGCAAATCTGTCATTTGGAATCTTTTGTAATTGTGGTCTACCCATGCACACATTTTTTTTTCCACCTAATGTTTTTTTTTAATATATATATAAGTTCTAGGGTACATGTGCACAACATGCAGGTTTGTTACATATGTATACATGTGCCATGTTGGTGTGCTGCACCCATTAACTCATCATTTACATTAGATGTATCTCCTAATGCTATCCCTCTCTCCGCCCCCCACCCCACAACAGGCCCTGGTGTGTGATGCTTCCCTTCCTGTGTCCAAGTGTCTTATTGTTCAATTCCCACCTATGAGTGAGAACATGCGGGGTTTGGTTTTTTGTCCTTGTGATAGTTGCTGAGAATGATGGTTTCTAGCTTCATCCATGTCCCTACAAAGGACATGAACTCATCCTTTTTAATGGCTGCATAGTATTCCATGGTGCATATGTGCCACATTTTCTTAATCCAGTCTATCATGGACATTTGGGTTGGTTCCAAGTCTTTGCTATTGTGAATAGTGCCGCAATAAACATACGTGTGCATGTGCCTTTATAGCAGCATGATTTATAATCCTTTGGGTATATACCCAGTAATGGGATGGCTGGGTCAAATGGTATTTCTAGTTCTAGATCCTTGAGGAATCGCCACACTGTCTTCCACAATGGCTGAACTAGTTTGCAGTCCCACCAACAGTGTAAAAGTGTTCCTATTTCTCCACATCCTCTCCAGCACCTGTTGTTTCCTGACTTTTTAATGATCGCTATTCTGACTGGTGTGAGATGGTATCTCATTGTGGTTTTGATTTGCATTTCTCTGATGGCCAATGATGATGAACATTTTTTCATGTGTCTGTTGGCTGCATAAATGTCTTCTTTTGAGAAGTGTCTGTTCATATCCTTTGTCCACTTTTTGATGAGGTTGTTTTGTTTTTTTCTTGTAAATTTGAGTTCTTTGTAGATTCTGGATATTAGCCCTTTGTCAGATGAGTACATTGGAAAAATTTTCTCCCATTCTGTAGGTTGCCTGTTCACTCTGATGGTAGTTTCTTTTGCTGCTCATGCACGCTATTACTCTTTGGTATCCTTCCTCTCTCCTGGTTCCATAGTTAGGCTCTATGAGATGACAGAGCATCCAAACCTGGTCAGGATACCTCAATACCCTGCAGGTATCACAAGAGGATGTAAGTGCAAAGACTGCACAGCCAGGCTGTCCAGTGCTGGAGTGTGATTCAGAGCTGTTCAGGATTCAGCTGCAGCTCCGTGTACTCATCTGGTGTTTGTACTGACTCCCTGATAATCCTAATAATTTTCTCCTAAGGAGAAACTCTCAGCTCCTGCGCATTCTGGTGCCCCCACGACAAACAGGATCAGTTTCTTCTTGCTCTGATTATTAGCAGCTGGATAATGCTTCTCTTTTGTTATCCAGTGCAATTATTCTCAGAGTTGGCTTTTGATGTATTTTGGCAATCATTTTTTAGGTTTTTGGCCTCTTATTGGTGGAAGATGCAATTCCGAGACCCCCCCATTCTCTGCTAATGAGCCAATAGATATTTTTATGAGAATCAAACATATACCCGTAATTCAGCCAGCTACAGTAAGGCGGTGGAGTCCCAGGGAAAACCTATGATTGCTGTTTGGAAGGGATTATTCAGAAAGGGGCTGTAAACATGAGAAGAATTCAGAAAATCCCATTGCTTTTCAGACATGTAGTCTTTTAAAATCATACTGCTAGTATAACCTTGCATATTCGTTCTCAATTCTCTCCACTCAAAATTAATTTGACTATTTTGCATTTGCTTTATAATCCACGTTGTTTGTAACTTCAAAAAAGTATGTTTTTTAGAATACAAGTTATTAACTTGTCAATATTTCCTACCAAAGTGAAAGTAGAGACACTGTTCAATGTTATATTTCCAGAGACAACTTTATGTTGTTGTCCTAATCCATTTAGACTGTTATAAAAAATATATTAGACTGGGTAACTTATAAACAGCACAAATTTATTGCTCACAGTCCTGGAGGCTAGAAAATAAAATATCAAGGTGCCAACAGATTCAGTGTTGGTGAGAGCTGGCTTTCTTTGCTTCAAAGAAGGTGCCTTCTTGCTGCATCTTCAATAGAAGAGAAACTCTCTCCTTTTGATAAGGGCACTAATCTCATTCATGACTTAATCACTTCCCAAAGAACCCGCCTCTTCATACTATCTCATTGGATGTTAAACATACTCATATTAACATATGAATTTTGGAGGGCACCAATATGCAGACCATAGCAGTTGTCTTGCTCAAAATTAATTCCACCGAATTTGTAGAATAGCTGTTTTCATCCCTGAAAACAAATGCCCCATTTCATGTGGGAGGTTCACATTAAACTCCGTCTGAGAAGGTTGGCTGCCTAGAAGTCATGTTCATATATGACCTCAAGTGGTCATTCATTTGCTGCAAAGCCCTTTATCCCGTATCAATCTGTGGGTGAGAGGCAGAAGGGAAGTAGTGTGGAGGACTGGCTGCTACATGTCATGAACCATCTTAATAATTCTCGCAGTCTGACTTGAAGTACTTATGGCCATTTTCAATTCACAGATGAAGAAAACGAGGTCCAGAGAGGTAAAGAGCCTCGTCTAAGGTCCACACTGCTGGTAGTTAATGACATCCAAACAATATGTCAGATACACATCATTCCTGTAGACTTTTACTGCCTACAGGGATGGCCAAGCTGGATCCGCTGGCCCAGGCTAAGGTCTGCACTGAGTCTGCGTCAGGGCTTGGCACCCCGCTGCCATTCTGGCATGTTCATTTGTCCGTCTCACTCTTCCTGCTTCTCTTTTCCCTTTGCAAGACATGGTATTGTGCCAGCAAGGCTGAAGAAGTTCCACAAGGATGTTATAGATATGCTTTGATTGTTTTCTGGAGGTTAAGTATGTTCTCTTCTAAACTCCTTCCAGAAAGGGAGGGAGACTAAGTAGACTAAGGCCCTCAACCTCTTTGTTTTATTACAATTATCGTTTTGTAAATAGCGTTTTCTTTGGTGCTTTCACACTACAACAGCAGGGTTGAGCAGCTGCAACAGATGCCATAGGAACCACAAAGCCTGAAGTATTTACACCTGCCCTTTACAGAAAAAGTTTACCAAGCCCTGTACTAGGAAATCAAGGATGCCATTCTTCTTGTGTTATGAGGGCCCAGTGGAGGCCATTTCCAATTCATGCTGTTTCCTGCTTGTGTCATAAATGAAGTTAATTTATAAACTCGGCTTTAGGCTCTTTATTGATATAACAGAGCTCAAATGGGCACTGCTTAGGTGCTAGATTTAAAAAAACGAAGTGAGAGAGAGAGAGGCACAGAGAAAACCTTTATTGTTTATCATTTACCATCTATATAAGAATGGTGTGCAGGGCACACTGGTGCACAGATGAGGAAGTATATTATTTTTTCTGTGAGTCAGAAGAGATACGAATTGGAGGTTTGAATGTGGCTGATGAAGGAGGAGTAGAAGTTCTTCAGGGAAAGTAGAAGAGAGAGCAACCTCGGAAAGAGAAACAAGAGAGAGGAGTGGCCAAGAGAAACAGCAGTGAGTGTGGCAAGTGGGTCACTGGCTCAGGAGCATGGCAGCGAGGAGTACAGAAAACCACTGAGACATTTTAGGCAAGAAAGGGTATGATGTTTTGAGTGGGACTGAGATGATGACTCAGCAGTTTGACAGCACATGTAATGATCTCTATTTACCACGAATCCCTTTTCCAGGTGCCTAGCACAATCCTACACACATAGAATTTGTTTCATACGTACGCATGTGACCTGTCATTACTGAAAGTATTTAGAGTTAGTTCTATCTCCCAGCACTGAAAGCAGTGACTCAGACCCGCTGCTTTTGGGGCTCTGAGCCAATTCGCGACACCGTCCGTGAATCCACATGATGCGCAGAAGGAGGGGTAGATTATCCTGATGCTAAATTCCCTATTGTCCTTTAAACTGTAGGATAGAATTGTAGAAGTCATGTGGCTGAGCTACATTAGAAAGAACAAGCACAAACTATCTGTTAAGAGTAGTAAAAATATCTTTATTTGGAGAAATGCTCAATCTAATTTCTGAATTTCTTGGCTAGGGAGCAAAGACATTAAATAAACGTAAGATATTATTATGAATGCAATAAACTGAGTCATTACCTTTTTATGAGAGAAGAAGAGATACACTGAATAGTGTTCCTTCAGACGGAAAGCAAATTAAAAATAGAGTCTAATAATTATACTTAAACTCACCTTTGTTCTTGCGGCATAGACTATTTAGGGTCAGGGTCACTTAAAATATTCTGGCAGTCACACC
Organism: Homo sapiens; assembly: GCF_000001405.40. Classification (NCBI taxonomy): domain Eukaryota; kingdom Metazoa; phylum Chordata; class Mammalia; order Primates; family Hominidae; genus Homo; species Homo sapiens. The sequence continues at coordinate 4,619,573 of NC_000002.12, forward strand.
ACTGTTTCCTATTATTCTTTGATTCTAAGACATCCATATGATGTCTACTAACGGTCACAATTAAGAATGGCTACTAATGATGAAGCTCACTGCACACCTGTGCTTGCACTGGACATAGTCATATTCACCGTCTTTAATCCTGACAACCTCTCATTCAACTATGTTCAGTGCAGGGAACTGATTCAGGTTGTTCACTATTACCGGTGAGTACGGGTTTAAATATGCACATGGCTATTACATGTGCATAATGCCTGGAGTTCTGGAGTAAAAGACAGGGATAATCTTAGAGATGGGGAAGACACTCTGGTGGTAGAAACGACATGATTCGTTTAAATAAAACTCAAATTTTCGAAGCACAGTTGACTGCTGGTTTTAGTCTCTGTTTATTGGAATTTGGACGTCAGCGTGCCTTGGACTTGGATTGTTTGTTTTACCACCATGACCCCAGAGCCAAGAGAGCATATGCTCAATAAATATCGGTTGAATGAACAAACAAATAAGCAAATTATTAATTAATAATTAATGGAAGATTTTTATTTGTCAACATAATTGCCAATAATTTCTTCTAAAACATGGTTTTCTAGTACAATTAAAATGGCCACATTTGTTAAGTAATGCAACAAACAAAAATCCTGTTTTAACACACACCTTTTCTCCAAGGCAAGCAATATATAAATAATAACAAAAACCCAAACTCTAAATATCTTTAAAACTGTGTTATGCCAACAAACCCTTAAATGGCTTCTCATGTGCATTTTGTTAACTTTGTAACACCTGTATAATAAGGACATTGGATTTCCTGTATGCATCAGAGAGCCACAATATCCATTCGATGCCTCCAGAAATAAATATGTATCTACAGACCATTCCTTCAGCAAAATAACGATAAATCTAGCAGATTCTCTACATACACGTTCGTTTTCTAAAAGGAGAGACTTGAGGCAGAGAGTTATGACATGATTTTCTTTTCTTTTCTTTCTTTTTTTTTTTTTTGAGACAGAGTCTCGCTCTGTCTCCCAGCCTGGAGTGCAATGGCGCGATCTCGGCTCACTGCAAGCTCCGCCTCCCGGGTTCAAGCCATTCTCCTGCCTCAGCCTCCCGAGTAGCCGGGACTACAGGTGCCCGCCATCATGTCCGGCTAATTTTTTTGTATTTTTAGTAGAGATGGGGTTTCACCATGTTAGCCAGGATGGTCTCGATCTTCTGACCTCGTGATCTGCCCTCATCAGCCTCCCAAAGTGCTGGGATTACAGGCGTGAGCCACCGCGCCCAGCCGTGACATGGTTTTCAAAGCACCAAGTGTTCTTGATTTTATTCTGTTCACTGAATGTATATCTTTCAACAAATATTTTCTATACAATTTCTTAAGATAAAAGATCCTATCTAGTTATTGTAAAGCATCCTATTCAAATTTCCAGGGATCTAGACTTTGGGAATTGGTACCACATTATATTTTTGGGGATATCCACTAAAACAACTATGTACATTTTCATGGTATTTAATATCATGCTGCTATAAAGACACATGCACACATATGTTTATTGCGGCACTATTCACAATAGCAAAGACTTGGAACCAACCTAAATGTCCAACAACGATAGACTGGATTAAGAAAATGTGGCACATATACACCATGGAATACTATGCAGCCATAAAAAATGATGAGTTCATGTCCTTTGTAGGGACTTGGATGAAACTGGAAACCATCATTCTCAGCAAACTATCCCAAGGACAAAAAACCAAACACTGCATGTTCTCACTCATAGGTGGGAATTGAACAATGAGAACACATGGACACAGGAAGGGGAACATCACACACCGGGGACTGTTGTGGGGTGGGGGGAGGGGGGAGGGATAGCATTAGGAGATATACCTAATGCTAAATGACGAGTTAATGGGTGCAGCACACCAACATGGCACATGTATACACATGTAACTAACCTGCACATTGTGCACATGTACCCTAAAACTTAAAGTACAATAATAATAAAATTAAAAAAGTATATATCAGTGCTTACAATCCTGCCTACAGACAGTCACTACCCCACTCTCAGGAGGGCTTACGTTTGAAGTCTGTCTGCTTTGCCCCAAGGTTTTCACTATGCTCTTCTCATGAAATATTTAACACGAAATAGAAATAAATTATTGCTTGGGAATAATCCGCCAGGAGATGCGGGCCTAAGCAGGGTGGCGGGACCAAATGAGCCATAACATGAACAAACTGATACACATTCCTGGCCAGCCTGTCCAGCTGTGGGCAGTGACACACTCCCATTCTCCAGACTATGAAAGAAGACCTCTGACCCTTCTGGGCCCAGACCTCAGGTCTCCCCGAGCCAGAATTGTGACCTAGTGTAACACCCCCTTGGGGTTCTGCAGTTGCTGACATCTCAGGTTTTTGGGTGCCACTATGTCCCCTTTGTCCAGATGCCACTACCCAAAGCAGAAGATGCTTGAGGCATGCCTGGTCCAGCCACAACCTTGCACAGGGCTCACACCTATGCTGGTGGCTGGAGCTGCTTGCCCCATTGCAGCAGCCAGTGTGTCTGGCTGTGCACTATGGCCAGACCCCACGCTCACTTCCTTACACACCCCTCACCACTCTGCACCTGGCTCATCCAAGGTGAGAGTGGAATCTGGGCCAATAGCATGAGCCAAGAACAGCCTGCCAGGCAAGTCGGCAGAGCCAGCTCAGTGGTCACAAGTGAAACTTGGGGACAGGAGCCACCAGCCACTGAAGTTTCCACATGGTGAAGTGGCACGAAAAGAATCCTGAGCCACTGTGACCTGAGTGTTTGTCTCTCCCCCAGATTCACAGGTCAAAATGTAGTCACTGATGTGATGTTATTAGGAAGTACAGCCTTTGGGAGCTGATTAAATGGTTACAAGATTAAAGGGTCTCCTCCCCATAAATGGATCAGTGCCCTTCTAAAAGAGACCTGAGAGAGACCCTTCACTTCTTCCACCACATGAGTTCATAGAAAGAAATTGCCTCAATTATCCAGAAGGTGGCCTCTCACCAGACTCTGCATCGACTGGCTCCTTGACCTTGGACTTCCCAGCCCCCAGAATTATGAGAAGCAAATTTCTGTTGTGTATAAGGTGCCTCATTTATGACATTTTTTTACAGCAGCCAAAATACACTAAGAGGCAGGGTCACCGAAACCTTTGCAAAGTGGAGAGGTAGTTTTCAGAGAGAAATCCGCAGGGCTTTCCCCCCAGAAAGAGATGGGCACTGGGAAGACAAGCAAAACAGGCAAGTTTCCAGCAGGGAAAGGAAGCCACATTTTTCTTCAGTGTGTAGGCAGACCACTTGAATCTCCTTGGTTTTGGAGTCTTCCCAGTAGATTAAACATGGCTTTTGTGTATCACTGATATCACTGAATTGGATTCAGTGATCATTTAGAAAGCCTGTCGTGAGGCTGGATGAATATTATCAGGTTGACTGTATCTAGTATACCTCTAGAGAATAAAAACCCAACATTATGTACTAATTTCAAATCAAGCAAAATGCTTTTCTTGATTGTGATAACACAGTACAGAATTTTTGGTATCATAGGGTCAACTTATTAATGCCCATTATTGCAAATTGCTCTAGGCCCAGGAGATAAGATAGAACTAGACCTGTAAATTATGTATTGTCTCTAAAATATATCATTGAAATAAAAAAAAAAACCTGCAGGCAGATGATGTTTTTGGATGTGTCTAGTAGTTGATATGTGTAGCACCCCACAGGATGTTTTTTTCAGAAAGAATCACCAGTAAACCACATGAATCCAAAGTGGAATATGGCTCAGCTGTTTTCCACTTATATGAAGTTAGGGTAATGATTAACTGGATGGAGCCTGGCAGAGGGAAGGGGTTGGGGAGATTGCGAGGGGAGGAGATGGAAGGAAGTGAGAAGAGGGATGATGGTAAGTTCCGTAAATGTAGAATGTTCAAGTTAGAAGGTACCTTAGAGATTATTTAGTGTAAGATTCTTGTTTTATAGATGAGAAAACTGAGGACCAGAGTGGGGAGGTCTTTAAGATCTTATATAATACTTGAGATGCTTTACTTTTTAAAGTCCTAAAGGAAGGATGGATTATTTGGATTTCCAAAGACCTATTTCATAGGGAAAGAAGCCCAGTAGTGTACGAGAAGAAATCCCAGAAGAAGAAGAGTTAATAAGCTGAAAAAAATTATGCAAGACTTTGCTCTTGTTTGGTTGCAAAATTCAAATTCTATTAATTCTACCTTTACTGACTTGCATTTTATATACTACTTAGAAGAATTTATCTGGCTGGAGACCACAGCTTACTTGTTCTTGTGAGAAAAAGAGTATGCTCTTCAAAAACTGTAAAAGGAAGAATTAATGAAACATAAGAAAAAATTTCTTTAATGGACTTTATTTGTGTATGTACTTATACATCTATAAACACAAATAAAATCACAATAAATTTGTTTAGGTAAAGTAGCTCCTCTTGAAGCCTCCGTTTCAAGCTAGTACATTTTCTTTCCTGTTGATCTTGATGTTTACTTCCTAGGTTTCAGGTACACTACTTTGAGGAATCATGATGTTTTTTCACAAGTGTTAATTAAGTAAATTTCTAAATCATTTACATTTATGAATGTTATTCATTTCTTCATAGGTGGGAATGGAGGAAACATTTGAATAGATCGGTGTTTGAGCATCCTAGCTTAGTTGAGAATCTGTGCTCAGCTATGCAGACTTTAAACTCTTCTTCCTTAGCCATGCCCAAATCCCAAACCTTGGCAATGAATGTGCATTTTTCCCTTTATCTCATTTTATTCAGCCTCTGTGTATCACAGGATTTTTGTCCAAGGATTAAGTCTTTCCGTGTATCTTGTATGCCTCATTCAAAAATCTACAAAGATCTGAGGAGTTTCGTCCTTCCAAACATAATCATTTGCCTTACTCTGAGCTTGGTTCAGCCTTGTCTAAGAATGCACTTCCTCTGGTTTCTGGAAGAGTAAATAGAATGAAAGGAAGTACAATTTCCATCTAACATGATAGTAGCAGTCCCCTTGGCATTATGACAGCATATTGAAACGTATGAGTGACATTCTTTTACTAGAAAATCAATAATTCTTTGCATCGATTTCACTGAGCAATGCACAATGGAAAGAGATGGGGAATCAGACGTGGGTTCAAGTCCTTGCTCTAGAGTTCTTTGGCTATGTATTTTCAGACAAGCTGTGTCATTGCTCTGAGCTTTAGTGACTTCATCTACACACAGGGATTACGACGATACCCTCCTCACATGATCATCATGATAATCAAATATAAGGATTTCTTTTTGTGAACTAAATTATGCTAGCAAATAAGTTGTCATGGTAAATATCTCCAAAACTAAGGTTTTTTTTTGGATATGCAGATCAGGCTTTATTAGTTATAAAACACCAATGGAAATTTAGTAACTGAGATAACAGCCTAGTACTTTTTTTCTCTAGAATAATTTATGTTTCATGAGGTATTCTTTAAAAAAAAACTTCTCAAGATATTAGTATTAAATTAGACAAAATAATTAATTCTGAAATAATTACCCAAACAATTAGATTGATTGAAATATCTCTAGTGAGAATGAGTTAATTGAAAGCTAGGGGCTATTTGTAAGCAAAACTGTTCTCTCTCTCTCTCGCTCTTTCTCTCTCTCTCTCTTTCCTCTCTCTGTGTGTGTGTGTGTGTGTATAATTTGCATATATGTAGATGGATGGTTGGGTGGATGGATAGATGGATGGATGGATAGAAAGATTGATGGATAGATAGGTAGGTAGACAATGGTATGGACTCCTTTAGAAGAAAAGAATGGGAAGGTAGGAAAAGGGAACGGTGGGTTCAAAACAGAGCTTCTTGACCCTGGGGTTTGGGGTGGGGTGAAAACCAGTAGAATTCTAGGGAGTATACTCTAAGAAAGTTTCAAGAAAATTCTGACATCAATTTTGCATGATTTAGACTTTCACCTGTAAATGTCCTATCTTTGCAAAAACAATTAAGGAAAACTTAAACTAGTTACAAAGAGTCACTTTGGTCTTTCTCCTCCAAATAATCTCTCGATTGCCTCAAATTTAAGCTTTCTGAACCATGAGTCTGATGATGTCACTTTGGGATGCCAGTCCCTCTCTGCCTCCCGATGGCCAGAAAATGTAAAAAGTTATTCAACGTGGTGTTTGAGAGCCTCTAAGTAGGGTGCCAGTTTACAGACCTGTCCTTTAATCTTAATCATCATACCCCTTTTCCTTTTTGAATTTCCTGAGCATAGGGTATCTTCCTTTATAAAACCTCCTTAACACTATTTATTAACATTTAAGGCAACAGAAACCAAACCCAAATACACTTAAACAAAAAAAGGAAATATTTGTCTCCCGTAACTGGGAAACAGGAGGATGGCTGGCTTTAGACCCTGTTGGAATCTGAGCTCAAGAAACCTTTCTCTCTCCATCTCTTACCCCTGCCTCCTTGTTTGGCTTTGCTCCTTCTTCTCACTGCATTTGGCTTTCACCCGGCAGCCAGGTAATAATTCTTCAGGCACCATTGCCTTAAAATTCAGAAACTCAGGGGACAAAAGAAACTTCTGTCCACACCAGGGACCAAGGATCAAGCCTCAGGGAAGACACAGGCCCTCCGTGGGCTGAGAGGGGGCAGGAGAGACAGCAACAGTTCACGAGATCTCAAAATATGGAGTCCCTCAGTCATGGCTGTCCAGAGAACAGAAGCAAGAGGGTGTGTGTGTGTGTGTGTGTGTGTGTGTGTGTGCTGGCGCATACAGAGAGAGAAAGAGAGAGAGAGATTTTTAGGAATAGTCTGATGTGATTATGGAGACTGGGGGGTCTGCCAGCAGGTTGGAGACGCAGGAACAGCTGATGTTGCAGTTGAAGCTCAGAGACTGGCTCCTGGCAGATTTTCTCTTTGCTCAGCGGAGATTAGTCTTTTGTTCTACTCAGGCCCTCAACTGACTGGATGAGGCCCACCACATTAGGGAGAGAAATTTGCTTTACTCAAAATCCACAAATTTAAGTGTAAATCTCATCCAAAAACACTCTCAGAGAAACATCCAGAATAATGTTTGTTTGTTTGTTTTTTGACAGAGTCTCACTCTGTCACCCAGGCTGGAGTGCAGTGGTGCGATCTAAGCTCATGGCAAACTCCGTCTCCTGGTCTCAAGTGATTCTCATTCCTCACCCTCCCAAGTGGCTGAGATTACAGGCGCCCACCATCACACCCAGCTAATTTTTGTACTTTTAGTAGTGACCAGGTTTCAGCATGTTTTCTAAACTGGTCTCGAACTCCTGACCTCCACCCGCCTCGGCCTCCCAAAGTGCTGGGATTACAGGCGTGAGCCACCATGCAGAGCTCCAGAATAATGTTTAACCAAATATCTAGATACCTGGGCTCAGCTAAGTTGACATAATGTAACCAGCACCGGGAGCTTACTTTGCAAAGAAAATGCAGACTGTGTTACCAGATGACAGGGGGAATTGTTTTAGGTGTATATTATTCACTTATCCTCACTTTTATAGCACATATTTATTCTGACACACACACACGTAGACACATACACACACATACACGTTAGGTCTCTACTAAATTCAGAGCCTTTCCTTTGGGGGGATCTAGAGAGTCACATATCTTTTATTATTACCTTTCGCATCTTATAAAGTATACCACACAAAGTAGAGAACAATAGAAATAACTGTTTGATAAACTGGAGTAATTGAAGTGTAACTGAAACAACACAAATAAAGTCACCAGGAGACCTAAGTACGTGATGACTTCACCTTTGTTTTGCAGAAGAAAAAGGAAAACAGCAGAGCTGATGGCCAATTGGAGGGTCTTCAAGTGTCCCACTACCCTTTCCATTCCATGATGGAGAAATGAGGGTAAGAAGCACTGTTTACATTTTATGACTGTCTTGAACAGGGGCAATTACCTGACAAGTTTAAATGGTTTCTAAGTCCTTGTTTTTGTTCCCTAGTGTAGAAGATAGGTTTTGAGATGGCAATACATTCATTTATTTGTTCTCACTCTCCACTGGTTCCATCAAGGTCGATATCTTAGAATCAGGCTGAGGTCACAGAGAATGAGTAGTTTGTGACCTGCATACACCTTAGGATTTTTAAATTTGGCTCTTGAACTGCGTTTACCTTATTTTAAAAATATTGATGAGATCGAGGAGTGAGATTTCACATTAATATTTAGAATACACAACTTTTTGAAAGAAGAAGGAGAAGGAGGATGATGAAGAAGGAGGAGAAAAACCAAGAGGAAGAGGGAAAAGAGGAGGAGGAGAAGGTGCATGAGCATGTATGGTTTATGTATATGAATGTGTGTCTACATATGTGGGTTTGTGTGTGTATATACTCAGGCTCAGTTCAGATAAACCACTAGCAATTATGATAATCAAGACACAAATACAGCTTTACCCAAAAACATCCCTGTAGCATTCTGGTTTCCCAAGTAAGATTTCACCAGTTCCTGCACACATTTATTTATTCATATACTCATTCAACAAACTATCCCAGACATAAAAGACAGCGGTCTTGTTCGTGGAGAAGCTCACAGTGCTGAGGAAAACAGGGCAGCAATTCCCTAGGGATGGTGTATTAATTCAAGAATCCCTTAATAAAAAATAAATACCAACAACAACAGAAATACTGGACATTTATTGGTGTCTTACAATGTCTTAGACACTGAGATACATGCTTTGTATACTTTAATTCAAACAAATATTATATTCACTCATTTTAGAAATTTTGAACTTGAGACACAGAGGGCTTAAGTGATATTAACACTTGTCTGCCTGGCTCTCTGGCCAAAAACTGTCTATTGCTTATAACAACCACATGCCAGGTATTTTCATTCAATGCACAGGCATATACAAAAGTAACCATGTATATAGCCAGTGATAAACTTAAAACACATATGTGATTAGTACGCACCTAAATTCACATGGGTAGAAAGCTAGAAGTCTGAGATACGATGCCAATTCATTTAAATCCAAGACCAGTTCTCCATTTATAAACCTATAACCTGTAGAATTTCTGAAACATAAAATACACATGTCAAAACTGCTGCAATTTTACTTAAGCATTTTTTTTTTACTTTCCAAGAAGGATAATTTCTTTCTACCAGCAATCTAACTTCTGCTCACTGCCAAATGTATTTGATGAAGTTTCAAAGATATTTTATTTTATTGAGTTACACACACACACACACACACACACACACACACACACACACACACCATACTCTGGACAGAATTAGTCCACATTTCCTATAGGTGTCAGACTGCAAAACTGGAATCAAAATAGAAAATGACACTTTCTCCTGTTCTATTACAATCCTGATTATTTTTTTTTACATAAATAGAACCCCGGTTGGACTGCCTGTACATCAAAGGCAAAGCTGCATTAAGGAGTAGTCAGGTGCTGAGGCTGGCTGGCTTCTGACAGCTTTCAGCCGCTTTGATCAGACACCTATCAGCACAAGCAGGCACCTTTTTTTTTTTGCCTTTTGTCTGAGTCAGGAAATGAGAGAGATGATAGCTGCCTTTTGGTCCTAATCCTAACCACTCTGCTTGACAGGAGATGAAAGGAAGACCAATTACCACTGGTAATGGCTGACTACAGTGTGCATTCATTATCCAAGTTATCATTACAAATTACATGGTATTCTTCGTTACCTGAGGAAAGGAATATTTAAAGCAAGCAAACCCTCTACCAGCAATATTTGATGAGCCCCAAGAGAAGAGCCCTCTGTCAAAGTGTTTTCAACACAGCCTCACCCAGTAGACAAAATCAAATGAAGATCCCCAGGTCTCACTGGTACTTGTTTTCCCTGACGGTCTCCAGCTGAGAGCTGTGTGTGTGTGTGTGTGTGTGTGCGCGCGCCTTTGTGTGTGTGAAGCTATGAAATGAGATAACTCCATGCTTGATGAAGCTGTAGCTTAGCTTAGAGATCTCTTGTCTGCAGATGTTTTATCCAGGGCAGTTTACGTTGTTGCTTTTGGGCCGCAGTAGGTGAGTCAGCATGGGAAGGACACATCCCTTTAATAAATTGATTTCAAGGTATAGCTATGAAACCTATGCATTATTAGCCATATATTTGTTACACATACACATACGTATGTGTGTTGATCCAGAGGTCTACACTTGTGCAATGGCTGAAGTAACAACCATAACAGTATTGATATTTGCAATTACTGTCCCCATAACGGCATGCATGTATACATCTGTGCATGTGCACCTGCGTGTGATCACATGATGGTGGGGAGGGTGGACTTATATCAGGGACAGAAACTTAGGGACTATCTAACATAGATGTATTTTCATTTAATCTTCATACCAATATGGAGACATAGGTGTTATTACAAAATGTTAAAATGAGACAAACAATAATTGAGGAAGTTATTGTAAATTGTTCAGAGTTAACTGAAAAGAAAAAGTCATGACTTTTGGGTCCAGGTTTATCTGATATATCTTTGAATTATTTTATTGTGTCTGACTCTGCTCATTCTCATGAGTTTGTTTAGATATTTATACCAGTTTATGATCCGTTTTTAACCAAATACTCTTCTCAATCTGTCAGTCCTCCCCTGTCTGCAAGGCCCAGATCATCTGTCACCAGTTTGTGAAAGTTGACTTTATTATTCTGTTGAAAATAAATCTCTCTAACTTTCAAATATCCATAGCACAGCTCTCATTATGATAAGCAGTAGAGTTAGTTCTGTATATATTTGGTACGTCCATGAAGGTCTGAGCTCCTTGAAGATGTGGCCAAATCTTATTCATCTCTGTAAGTCCAACTTAGCACAGTGCCTGAAAAAGAGAACAGAGTGAATATTAAATAAATAAGTCAAACTGAATCCAATTATTAGAAGAATAGTCATTATATTCCTTGAAGGATTTCATAAGTGGCAATTGGTTCTTCTAAAATTATTTAATCTACTTTAGCCTTAATTTTAGAAAATTTATTTTCCATGAAGAAACCCTAATCTAAAAGAAAATTTAACTGAATAACTTTCCATAAACTAAAAAGAAACAGTATTTGTTGTTTTAAAATAGTGGTTCTGGGCTGGGTGCAGTGGCTCACACCTGTAATCCCAGGACTTCGGGAGGCCGAGTCGGACAGATCACCTGAGGTCAGGAGTTTGAGACCAGCCTGACCAACATGGTGAAACCCTGTCTCTACTAAAAATACAAAATTAACCAGGCATGGTGGTGGGCTCCTGTAATCTCAGCTACTCAGGAGGCTGAGGCAGGAGAATAATTTGGACCTGGGTGGTGGAGGTTGCAGTGAGCTGAGATTGCGCCGTTGCACTCTAGCCTGGGCGACAGTGGAAGACTCCATCTCAAAAAATAAAATAAAATAAAATAGTGATTCTGCTTTTGTTAATAGTGCAATTGTACAAGACAAAGATAATTTTAACCTTGGACAAAGAGTTAAAATCTTTAAGTGTACACGTGTGCACGTGCACACACACACAATACAACTATTTGAAGACATTGGATACATTTCAATAGCAGGCAAAGTTGGAGGAGTGTTAATATTGAAAGAATTGCACTGGGTGAGATTTGCTGGCGCAGGGAAGAGGGAATTTTGAATTTATGAAAATAAGAACATTCAAAACGTACCATCTCTCCTTGTAAATGGCAGTGGTTTAACCTGCAGTAGAGGCTGGAACTGGGAGGGCATTTTTGGGCTCCATCCTACGGACGCATGTCTCTCATGAACATAGATATAATTATTTCTAACAAAATATTTGCAAGTAGCATCCAATAATGTATAAAATGAATAATACACTATGATGAAGTAGTGTCTATTCAAGGAATGCAGAGTTAGTTTGCACATGAAAATCAAATGTAATTTATCACAATAATAGACTTTAAAAAAATCATTATTTTCTGCATAGATGCAGAAGAAGTTTTGAGAAATACAATATCCATTTCCTTAAAAAAAAAAAGTCACGGCAAACAAGGGAGAGAAAGGAACATCCTGAACCTAATAAAGGCATTTACAAAAAGCCTACAAGTAACAGCTAACATCACACTTAATAGTAAAAGACTGAATGTTTTTTCTCTAAGATAAAGAACAAGTAACAATGTACTGGAGGCTTGATAAACCGACGAAAATAATGAAAGGCATCTAGATTTTAAAAGAAGATGTGAAGTTGTCTTTATTCAAGATGACACGGTTATCTAGGTAGAAAATCCTCTAGGATCCACAGAAAATTACTAGAACACATAGATGGGGTAAGAAATGATCTTGTATGATATAAGATTGATATCCAATAATGTATTGTATGCATTTATGTATTATGTATTATGATGAGCAGCAACTGACTAGAAACTGAAATAATAAACAACATTTACAATAGCAACAAAGATATTAGGTTTGGTAAAACTTACTATAGTTTTACCAAACATGTTTAAGACCCATACACTGAAAAATATCAAATATTGGTGACAGAGATTGAAGGGGTCCCACAGAAATGGAGAAGTGTCTTTTTTTTAGTTAATGTGTCAGTTGATTGCATATTGATCAATAGGTTAAATGTGATTACAATGAAAATCATTGCAGCTTTTTATTTATAGAAATTAACGAGCTGATTCTATAACAAATAATGAAAATGCATAGGCTATTAACTAACCAAAACAATTTTGTAAAAGCAGACAAATTTGGAGACAAAAAGAAACACTACTTAAGACAATTAAGTATATGGTAATAAAGACAGTGTTATTAACAAAATGATAGATGACTAGATCAATGTGCAGAATATAGAGTCTAGAAGAAGATCAATATGTGCATATTGGTAAAAAACAACAGATTTCCCCAGAAGAGAAACAAATTTAGGATGTCCGCTTGCACTACTTCTGTTCAACATTGTACTGGAGGTTCTAGCCAGGGAAGCAAGGCAAGAAATGTAAAAAGAAAAAAAAAAAGACATCCAAGTGGAAATAGAGAAACAGTTCTGCCTTTATTGGCAGATGACATCATCATCTACATTAAAAATGCTATAAAATTTGACACAAAGCTACTAGAACTAATAAGTGTAGCACACTCACATAGCACAAGATGAACTAACACAAATCAATTATCTTTCTATAGACAGTCAAAAGCAATCTGAATTTTTTTTTTTTTTTTTTTTTGAGACGGAGTCTCGCTCTGTCGCCCAGGCTGGAGTGCAGTGGCACAATCTAGGCTCACTGCAAGCTCCGCCTCCCGGGTTCATGCCATTCTCCTGCCTCAGCCTCCCAAGTAGCTGGGACTACAGGCGCCCGCCACTACGCCCGGCTAATTTTTTGTATTTTTAGTAGAGACGGGGTTTCACCATGGTAGCCAGGATGGCCTCGATCTCCTGACCTCGTGATCCGCCCGCCTCTGCCTCCCAAAGTGCTGGGATTACAGGTGTGAGTCACCACGCCTGGCCAGCAATCTGAAACTTTAAAATGCCATATAGTATAGTATCAGAAGTAGACTATATTTAGGGATAAATCTTAGAAAAAAATCAAGATCTTATCCTGAAATCTATAAAATATTTTAAAAATAAAAACTGTAAAATCTTAGTGATGCTGTGTTTGGCTGAGATTTCTTAACTACAAGACAAAAAGAATAAATTATATTTTAAAATTCCTAAATTGACTTGATCAAAATTAAAAATAATTATTCTTCAAAACCTCTTTAAAACTGAAAATGCAAACTATAGGCTTTGAGGAAACTTGCAAAACAAAGAAATTGTGTCTCTTATATAAACAACAATCACAACTCAATAGTAACAAAGTCATAATAATCACAAAGTCATAAATTCAATAATCATAAAGTCATAAGCTTCTCAGAAACATGATCAAAAGATTGGAAAGACATATGGCCAAAGAATGAATGGATATGTCACCAAAGAATGTATATGCATGGCAAACAAATACTTGAAAAGATATTTAATATTATTACTCATTAAAGAAACACAAATTAAATTTCCCATGAAATACCACTACGCACATACTAGAATGGCTACAGTGTAAAATTGACTATGTAGGTAAAATGTCATAAAATTATTCACATCTTTGACTTACCAATTTCACTTCCAGGAAGTATTCCTATAGAAATAATGAAAAGTGATACTCATGGTATAACATAAAGAACTAGAGAATAGTCCACAATGCAACAGCCATTAACATGACTCCTGCTGTTATATTTGTACTAATGAATACCAAACAGCTATTAAAATTATGATCTCAAAAGATCATGCTAAGTGAAAAATATCAAAATGTAGAACTTCGTATGCCCTGTGATCTCAATTCATCAAGTCAATTAGAATAAAGCACATTTAGATAACAATAGTAAGATTAGAGGTGATTTTTCTTTTCTATATGTTTCTATATTTTCAAATTTCTACAATGTCAATACATTACGCTAATATCAATTGTATTACTCCTTTTTCACACTGCTATAAAGAGTGGCCAGAGACTGGGTAGCCTATAAAGAAAAGAGGTTTAATTGACTCACAGTTCTGCATGGCTGGTGAGGCCTCAGGAAACTTACAGTCATAGCAGAAGGAGAAGCAGGCATGTCTTACACGGCAGCAGGTGAGAGAGAGAGCGAGCAAGAGCAGGGAAAACTGCCTTATAAAAGCATCACATTTCATAAGGACTTATGCACTGTAAGAACAGCATGGAGTAATCTCCTCCATGATCCAATCACCTCCCACCAGGTCCCTCCCTTGACACACGGGGATTACAATTTGGATTACAATTGTTGATGCAATATGGGTGGGAACACAGCCAAACCACATCATCAATATTTGTTTATTTTAAAATAATATGTATTTTGGCATATTATATGTGTTTTAAAACATATTTATGTATATGTGCATTTATTTAGTACCACATATATTTAATAAATACATTAAAAAAGACAGCATTATTTGTGGTAGTCTTATTTTTTACAGGCAATTTTTATAGAGCACTTACTTTGCGTCAGTCTCTTTTTAACCACTTTATACACATTTCCTTTCTCAACCTGTTCAGGTATTTTATGGATACTGTATTCAACACTATTTACACTGGAGAAAACCAAAACCACAGCATCAGTAATTTATGCAAAGTCCCTCAGCACTTAAGAACCTGTATCGGATACCTCTGTAGTTTAGCAGTAGAGATTTCACTCTTCACCATGCTTGTATACTGTTCTCTGAAAAGGATTTAAAATAAGCCAAGATTTGTTTCTCTGTATTCCGTTCCTCATTTTTCTTGTCTTCTCTTTCTAAGCATTAGTCTACAGGTGAACTCTTAGTGTTTTAAACCTTAACCTGCCCACAGGCTTACCTTAGTCTTTTCTTTTGCAGCCTAAATATCTTTAGTTCTGTAAATTTTCTTCGTGAAATGTAATTTCTAGTCCCTCTGCCATTCAACTGATACACCTGGATGCAGCTGAGATCGATGCACTGCTGATGGCATTCTCGCTTAGCTAATTTCAAGTGTTCTAACTTCTCTGGTTGAGACAAAAAGAATTATAAAGTTCAGTTCATTAAAAAAATTAATAATGATCATTGAACAATTCTGTATTTCATGGAATTTGCCACATTTTACTTTTCCTTGACCATGAATTAGCCAAAGTAAAACTACGGTAGAAATATTGAGAGGAAGTAAATGAGGCATTTTCTGGTATAGTAAAATTTACATATGTAAATATAGCAATATAATTATTCATACAAACATATTTCAAAATGTTTTGTTGGTCACTCTATTTAGTTGAACACTGGGACTACTTCAGCAAATATTGCTAAACATACCAAACTTTCTCAAAATAGCTATGATTGTACATATTTTTAAAGGTGATTTTATCTAAACTTCGCCAGCTCTTTTGCACTTTGCTGTTTGGGAGGTTAATTAGGGAGTGATTTATTGATGGCATTCAAAACTCTTTATAGCTAGGTCATGGCCTGTAACGTCTGACTGCCTCTCCACCAGGATAACACGGCTTATTTGCCTTCGAGCTATAAAAAGTAAATACAGGCCCTCTCTCTGATTTTACTTCCTAGATTTGTGCTGACCTCATCTGGGTACTCCTTAAAATACTAATAAAATTTTGATAATAAAGAAAAAGAAACAAGGCTGGGAAACTCAAATACCATTGTAATTATCATCATAATTATAAATGTGAGCATTATATTAATTAATATAATGGTATATTTTCTTTTATTTGGGTCATACCTTAAACTATATTGTTTCACTTAATTTTGTTACTCCCTGCAATTGTCTGTTTCTTCGTGGATTCTAAGAAATAATATAGTGTTAAATAAGACAAGAAAAACACAACATAAGCACATATACTTTACTGTTGGTATTTAACAACATGTGTATGTGTGATCTAAGTATTAAAAGACATAGATAAATGAAATGACCACGTCAAGCTAGTGGGACTGTGTCATTACAGAATATTTAATATTGACAACAGTTCATATTTTTATAAATTAAAATTTTAGTACTATATGTAAACAGTGGCCTGTTTATTTGCTTAAAAATTACAAGAGTAATTTCTTGAGTTTACAAATATATAGTTTTTAAATACTAATTAAAATTTCTATAAAAGTTTGAAGATCTGCATTTCATTAATTTTCACACATTCTTTTTGAATAGGTCAAAAGAGATATTGGCTATTCTCACTGATAAAACCATACCTTGTCCAGAAATATTGGAGTATTTTTGTTTACAGATTTTTTGGAAGGGCATAGGGTAAAAACACCTAGTCTTCACTTTTGGAGTGTATCATGTATGCTATAGAAGCGACCTGCCACATGTCAGTGACTGCACCTGTTCCTTAGTACTAATTACACTGAATTTCCACAACCACCCATAAGATAGGCATTATTAACCAGTCATACACGCAAAGGACCTGGTGAGAGAAATACTCTTGGGACTAGAAATTGAACCAAACATTTATGTCTAAGCCCAGAATGCACACACTAGCATAATTACAGGAGGACTGCAGCAGGGCTGACATTTAGAGCATCTCCTGTTGGTTCTTTTCCTGTGGGTGCACCTGACTGGCTATAGGTTTCCCTTCTTTTTGCCACCATATGTATTTAACTCTGACACCCTCTGAAAGTCTCCCGCTGATTTCCCAGATATGACACAGCACTTGTTGTCAGCCAGTGGTTGGCTTTTATCCTGACAGTTTTGTCCATTTTATGACACTAATAACCATTCTTCCAATTTTCATTTGTAATCTACCCCACTCAGCCTCCCTCCTTCATGTTGTTCCCATTTCAATGGCCATTCTGCATTTAGTTCAGTAATAATTCAGGTTCCCTTCTATAATTATTTCCACCATTTCTAAACCTTAACGATGGCTACATTAGATTGAAGATACAATGTCGATTGTTTTTAGAAACAACACAATGTATATTTTTAAAAGACAAACAAGTTTGGTTTGCAAAATCACACTAATTATCTATTTCATCATCTTAACGCCAGCTAGCATTTGAGTTCCAGAATGAAAATGTGGGCTTTGATTTATAAATATTAATGCCATAATCAGATTGTGATACCTTTCAAGAATAATTCAGATTGACTATTACCATTTGGAAAGAATATGGAGTAGAATGTGTCAACTTTGTTTTAAGTTCTCTTGTTGTCAAATTGTCTCAGATGTGGGTGTGGATACCTTCAAAGAGCAGGCTTAAAAAGAAACTATCATCAGAGCAAACAGGCAACCTAAAGAATGGAAGAAAACTTTTGCAATCTACTCGTCTGACAAAGGTCTAATATTGGGAATTTACAAGGAACTTAAACAAATTTAGAAGAAAAAAAACAAACAACCCCATCAAAAAGTGGGCAAAGGATAGAACAGATACTTCTCAAAAGAAGACATTTATCCTGCCAACAAACATGAAGAAAAGCTCAATATCACTGATCATTAGAGAAATGAAAGCAAAACCACAATGAGATAGCATCTAATGCTTGTCAGAATAGCTACTATTAAAAAGTCAAGAAACAACAGATGCTGGCGAGGCTGTGGAGAAATAGTAACGCTTTTACACTGTTGGTGGGAATGTAAATTAGTTCAACCATTGGGGAAGACAGTGTGGTGATTCCTCAAGGATCTAGAACCAGAAACACCATTTGACCCAGCAATCCCATTACTGGGTATATATTCAAAGGAATATAAATTATTATATTATAAAGATACATGTACATGTATATTTATTGCAGCACTATTCACAATAGCAAAGACATGGAACCAACCCAAATGCCCATCAATGATAGACTGAATACAGAAAATGTGGTACATATATACCATGGAATACTATGCAGTCATAAAAAGGAATTAGATCATGTCCTTTGCAGGAACATGTATGAAGCCATTATCTTCAGCAAAGTAACACAGGAACAGAAAACAAAACTTCACATGTTCTCACTCATAAGTGGGAGTTGAACAATGAGAAAACATGGACACAGGGAGGGGAACAACACACACCAGGGCCTGTTGGGGGGTGGGGGACAAGGGGAAGGAAAGCATCAGGACAAATAGCTAATGCATGTGAGGCTAAAAACCTAGGTGACTGGTTGATAGGTGCAGCAAACCACCATGACACACATATACCTATGTAACAAACCTGCATGTTCTGCACATGTTCCCCGGGACTTAAAGTAAAAGAAAAAATAATTAAAACAAACAACAACAAAACAAACAAAAAAACACTTAGGCTTAGCCAGGCCAGTCCCTGGGCTAAGGGATATGATAATCACAGCAACTGGCCAACTGCGTTAAGGGCCAAGGGCTAGCCCCTCTGTCAGGGGTTTTGCATATATTATTTTGAATCTTAGTAAAAATGGTAAAACTTATTATTATTCCCATTTTCCAGATAAGGAACTTTTGACCTAATTAGAGGAAAGTATAATCAAAATTAAACGTCAGGGCCCAAACCCCAAGCTCTTTCCAGGGTTCTGAAATATTAGCAGGCTTGGGCCTGGTAACCAGCAGACACACACGGAACCCACAGGTCCTCACACTTCAGACTGCCAGGTGACTGCAGCTTGGCTGGTCCAGAATGCAGGATAGCAACACTCCCCAG
The DNA here is from genome assembly GCF_000001405.40 of Homo sapiens. NCBI lineage: Eukaryota > Metazoa > Chordata > Mammalia > Primates > Hominidae > Homo > Homo sapiens. The sequence goes on from NC_000002.12 coordinate 4,638,646, forward strand.
GCACTCACCGTGAAAGCCATCATTCACAGTCACTGCACTTAAGCACATCATGTGCGGTGGCTCCTTCATCCTGAGGGCAGCCCTGTGGGGTAAGTGTTGGCATCCCTATTGTACAGGTGTCTCAGAGAGCTCAAGCAGCTGGGATGATGTCACTCAGGAAAGGCCAGAGTCAAACTCCTCTCTCCCTGGTTCCTTTGTGTGTTCTTGACATCCACACCTTCCTTTTACCCTGAGTTCTTGCTTAAATTCTGGGATCCTGACTCCCAGCTTTACCCTTTATTTCAAATTCTTGGAGAGGCCCTAATCCAAACACTTTGATCATCTGAGTAGAAAGTTGCTCCCCTACTGGAGGTACTGGCTATGCACTGAGGTGGCAAAGTAAATTTTTACAAAATGAGTTATATCATTCTTCAGTCCTAAGAGTACCTCCAGCTAGGAAAGTCTGCATTTTGTGATGAAACATTACATTTTACAAATATCTGGCCCCATATTTGTGGTATTCTTTTTTTTTTAGGATTTACTCAGGTATGAAAAAATAATCACCTTACTTTGGGAAGTGTTAAGAATGCTAAGATTATTTGTATGTTAATGTGTTTTGATCATTGAGAATTCACAAACTTTGAAAGCAAATTTTTCAGAATAATTGAGTCACACTAATGTTTAGAAATAATAATTGGAATTAGTAAAAATTCTGCGGCAAAAACATTCTCTGCTCTAATGGAGTAAAGATAAATGTGGCGAGAAATGTTAATACAGACTCACTTCAGCGATTTCTCCTGTTTTGGTCTTGGTTTTTATCTCCTTCTGAGTGGAATTCTATATTTGGTAATGATTATGTTTCATTTAAACCTTATAAATACAATGCTACATTAAAATATCCTGCTTTACGACAAACATATATGTGACCTATATATTACCTGGTAAATATAAAATATTTTATTTTTTTAAAAAAATGCTGTATTTCAGTATCTAGAAGTTACCACTGTAGAATCTGCCTGTCTAGATAATGTTGGACAGAGGTGAGTTTCTGCTTGTACCTGTTCAGGTGAACTAACCACTGTTGTAAGCGAGGTTTTATTTTATACTTTAGTACTTTCAAATGTTATAAAGCAGCATATATATCAGAGGGCAGAGTCTGGGATATATGAAAATGCAGACTTAGAGAATACAAACCCTACATATTTTATTTCACTCTGGCATTGCCAAGAGGCATTGGGGGCACTGTTTTGTAAACTGGCCCCTCAGAGGTGGCATCCCTAAACATCCTTAGACTTCATTAATTCTAGTAAATCATTGTCAAGAATGATCACCAAACACTATGGCACCTTGTCCTCTTTGAATAAAAGATGACAATGTGGGTAAAAGAATAGAAAAACTCAAAGTAATTATGGTCAATAAACTTCTATGGTGACATATATAGTATTTCATTATTACATCTTCAAAATACATCTTGCATAAAATATTTTTAAAGAAGCTTAAAGCCAATTGTGGCAGAAGAAAATTACCAGTTTATGGACCAGTCAGATCCATTATTATGAACAAGGAAAAGTATTTTTCTTCATTATTACAAGAAAGGTAATGTCTTAAAAATTTAACATCTATGTTTAGAATCTATTATCCTGTCTTTTCATTTAGGGATTTAATATCATGCTACCTCTCAATATTATTTAACAGTTCTATCTATATAGGCTGTGCCTCCTGGAGATTTTTTTTAGCTCTTGAATTACAAGGACAATCTTATACATTGGCTTTTATCTTTCTCACAATATCCAAATATACTGTTGACTCTGCATAAATATTTACTGAATAAATGCCAAACAATTAGAAACACACATGGTGAGAAAGAAATTAACAAAGTAATATTGAGACCATTGTAAAAGTTTTTGTTTCACCACATTCCTTTTCTTGGTGAAAAACTCATCCCAGTGATGACCCATTCCTTAATTGGAACTTCCCTAGAGAAAGATCTAAGATACAAGTTACTACAGCCACATACAAACCACACTTAGAGTAATCATTAAGTCATTAATATGATACTTTAATTCTTCCAGCATTTTATGGTCTTTGTTTAACATTATTCTTAGAGATAGCATGAGCTGGTTCTGGGAAGTTAATTAAGTCAAAATAAGCACTTATTATAAAATATAATTCTCTATCATTTATCTCCGACCCTACCAACTCCTCACCCAAAGAAACATCCTCCTAGTATCTACCTCATGGCACACTCACCAAACTGCATAGCCATTGTCCATCTGCATGCCATGATTACAGCTGCAGAGGACAAGGGCCCAGGGAGTTCATCTTTATACACTTAGAACCTAGATAATGTCAGCTTGCAGCTAATACTCAGAATATCTTATGAATTTATACAGAACACATCATCTCGTGATTATATACTTATTTCTTTTCTAATGATAGCTTTCAACTGAAATACTGCATGTGTTTTTCCAATTGTTATCACTGGGCAGAGTCCGTAAATTTCTCTCCGTTTGTATTTCTGAAACTTTTAAAAATTTAGTCTCGTATCTGATTTTACCCCACCCCCAGTGTAGGCTTCTGCTCTGATCCCTGCAGCTTGGAGTTGGGGAAGGAGGTCTCACTTTAAGATGCCTCCTCATCTTTCCTATAACACTGTCATTAGGAGGAATGGGGGACAGAGATGGGGATGAGATCCTCTTCACATGGCTGACCAGATACTAGGAAGGAAAGAAATCTCGCTACTGCTCTAGTTCTGTCCAGCTTGTGGGTGATGCCTATGTGGCTGTGGCTTCTTTCAGGAAGTTGCCACCTTCAGCTTGGTCCCACCCATCACTGATGACCATTCCAGAATTGAAGGTACTTTCCTTGTTGGCCCCACTCCCCTGGTACACAATCCCATGCTCTCTTCAGAGATGGAGATTGAATTTGCAAGGCCCCATATCTTGCCCCTCTATTAATTCCCATGGTTCTTCTTGTGAAAGAGAAAAAATAGAAATTCTGGAATCCCTTCAGCACTCTCTAAAGGCTGCAGGGGTGAGTGGAGAGAGGGTCATCCCGTCTTTGCTCAGAAACACTGGGTGATGGTCTTGCTGCATGAGCTCCTGCAGAGGCCTCCCACCTCAGCCATCTCCCACGGACAAGTGGAAAGCTGTCTCCATACTTCTATCTCCTCTCTCTTCAGCGGACACGTGCTCATCTCTGCTAAGGGGTCTTACTCCACTTTCTTCACTGGCTGCCTTTTCCTCAATCATTCGGAAGCTTTGCTGTCAGATTTATACTCATGTGGCTTCAGAGGGGGGAAGAGTTCTCGCTTTCCCACACAGGGAACTGCACTTTGCATAAGGTTGGTGTTCACAGATGCCTCCCTCCCACTGCTGTCCTAGAGACGACACACTGGATCGGGTCTGGGGGAGACACAGCTCAGCTCTGTGTGGGGAGGAGATACATGAACTTGAAATTTCGCAGATCCATGGTGGCACTCCTAAACATTTGGAGTTACTTTTTTTCCCCTTTCTTTTTGTATCTTTAGTCACAACACATGGACCACAAGAAAACTCCCCCTCAACATCTTGGTAAAGGCTGAATGGATAAGTGAATGAATAAATATACAGCCAGACTTTATTCCTAATGTAACTTATCTGTATTGCATTTGTCTTTTGCTCAAGTTAAACTAAGTTTTCTGAAACATAATATTTCAGAAGATCCCTGATTTAAACTAGACACTAGACCTCATGTCATAAGAGAACTACATGCTTTCTCCTCAAATATGGAAGACATCTCTTTAGTGTGTGCCATATCTCCCCCAAAAGATTGTAAGCTGTGAAAAATAGGACCCACATTCTATTTTTCTCTTCCACTTCTTCTCACTGCTAGGAATACAGCTGAATGTATAGCTTTCTCCATGTGTATTTTGAGAATAAATGCAGGGATGTTGAACAGTTTATTAGATTCCCTTTGTTAATTCAATTCAATTCAATTTGATTCAATTCAATTCAATTCAATTCAATGCCTTTGTGCTGTTTCTAAGGACTCGAACTTATATTCATTTTTATAGATAATGATGTAAAAATGACATACTCTAAAATCATGTATAGGATTAAGACCAAGTCATATGTATCCTGCTTAAAAAATTATATTTGAATTTCATACTACAGATTATTTACATATTAAATTATCTTAGCAATCTAGTCGTAAGGTAATAGATTGCTTATCACAATTATCTTACATTTGTACTAGAGTGAATCAAGTTATGCAACAATGTAAAAAACACCTTAGCATTCATCAGGCCCCTTTACCTTAGCTTTGCATTGCTACCAGATTCCTGATAGAAGCTACATCATTTCTGGTGGAGGAGCCAAGATGGCCGAATAGGAACAGCTCCGGTCTACAGCTCCCAGCGTGAGCGACGCAGAAGACGGGTGATTTCTGCATTTCCATCTGAGGTACCGGGTTCATCTCACTAGGGAGTGCCAGACAGTGGGCGCAGGTCAGTGGGTGCGCGCACCAGGGGCGAGCCGAAGCAGGGTGAGGCATTGCCTCACTTGGGAAGCGCAAGGGGTCAGGGAGTTCCCTTTCCGAGTCAAAGAAAGGGGTGACGGAGGCACCTGGAAAATCGAGTCACTCCCACCCGAATATTGCGCTTTTCCGACGGGCTTAAAAAACGGCGCACCGCGAGACTATATCCCGCACCTGGCTCGGAGGGTCCCACGCCCACGGAGTCTTGCTGATTGCCAGCACAGCAGTCTGAGATCAAACTGCAAGGCGGCAGCGAGGCTGGGGGAGGGGCGCCCGCCATTGCCCAGGCTTGCTGAGGTAAACAAAGCAGCTGGGAAGCTCCAACTGGGTGGAGCCCACCACAGCTCAAGGAGGCCTGCCTGCCTCTGTAGGCTCCACCTCTGGGGGCAGGGCACAGACAAACAAAAAGACAGCAGTAACCTCTGCAGACTTAAATGTCCCTGTCTGACAGCTTTGAAGAGAGCAGTGGTTCTCCCAGCACGCAGCTGGAGATCTGAGAACGGGCAGACTGCCTCCTCAAGTGGGTCCCTGACCCCTGACCCCCGAGCAGCCTGACTGGGAGGTACCCCCCAGCAGGGGCACACTGACACCTCACACAGCAGGGTATTCCAACAGACCTGCAGCTGAGGGTCCTCTCTGTTAGAAGGAAAACTAACAAACAGAAAGGACATCCACACCAAAAATCCATCTGTACATCACCATCATCAAAGACCAAAAGTAGATAAAACCACAAAGATGGGGAAAAAACAGAACAGAAAAACTGGAAACTCTAAAAAGCAGAGCGCCTCTCCTCCTCCAAAGGAACGCAGTTCCTCACCAGCAACGGAACAAAGCTGGATGGAGAATGACTTTGACGAGCTGAGAGAAGAAGGCTTCAGACGATCAAATTACTCCGAGCTACGGGAGGACATTCAAACCAAAGGCAAAGAAGTTGAAAACTTTGAAAAAAATTTAGAAGAATGTATAACTAGAATAACCAATACAGAGAAGTGCTTAAAGGAGCTGATGGAGCTGAAAACCAAGGCTCGAGAACTACATGAAGAATGCAGAAGCCTCAGGAGCCGATGCGATCAACTGGAAGAAAGGGTATCAGCGATGGAAGATGAAATAAATGAAATGAAGTGAGAAGGGAAGTTTAGAGAAAAAAGAATAAAAAGAAATGAGCAAAGCCTCCAAGAAATATGGGACTATGTGAAAAGACCAAATCTACGTCTGATTGGTGTACCTGAAAGTGATGGGGAGAATGGAACCAAGTTGGAAAACACTCTGCAGGATATTATCCAGGAGAACTTCCTCAATCTAGCAAGGCAGGCCAACGTTCAGATTCAGGAAATACAGAGAACGCCACAAAGATACTCCTCGAGAAGAGCAACTCCAAGACACATAATTGTCAGATTCACCAAAGTTGAAATGAAGGAAAAAATGTTAAGGGCAGCCAGAGAGAAAGGTCGGGTTACCCTCAAAGGGAAGCCCATCAGACTAACAGTGGATCTCTTGGCAGAAACCCTACAAGCCAGAAGAGAGTGGGGGTCAATATTCAACATTCTTAAAGAAAAGAATTTTCAACCCAGAATTTCATATCCAGCCAAACTAAGCTTCGTAAGTGAAGGAGAAATAAAATACTTTACAGACAAGCAAATGCTGAGAGATTTTGTCACCATCAGGCCTGCCTTACAAGAGCTCCTGAAGGAAGCACTAAACATGGAAAGGAACAACCGGTACCAGCCACTGCAAAATCATGCCAAAATGTAAAGACCATCAAGACTAGGAAGAAACTGCATCAACTAACGAGCAAAATCACCAGCTAACATCATAATGACAGGATCAAATTCACACATAACAATATTAACCTTAAATGTAAATGGACTAAATGCTCCAATTAAAAGACACAGACTGGCAAATTGGATAAAGAGTCAATACCCATCAGTGTGCTGTATTCAGGAAACCCATCTCACGTGCAGAGACACACATCGGCTCAAAATAAAAGGATGGAGGAAGATCTGCCAAGCCAATGGAAAACAAAAAAAGGCAGGGGTTGCAATCCTAGTCTCTGATAAAACAGACTTTAAACCAACAAAGATCAAAAGAGACAAAGAAGGCCATTACATAATGGTAAAGGGATCAATTCAACAAGAAGAGCTAACTATCCTAAATGTATATGCACCCAATACAGGAGCACCCAGATTCATAAAGCAAGTCCTGAGTGACCTACAAAGAGACTTAGACTCCCACGCATTAATAATGGGAGACTTTAACACCCCACTGTCAACATTAGACAGATCAATGAGACAGAAAGTCAACAAGGATACCCAGGAATTGAACTCAGCTCTGCACCAAGCGGACCTAATAGACATCTACAGAACTCTCCACCCCAAATCAACAGCATATACATTTTTTTTAGCACCACACCACATCTATTCCAAAATTGACCACATACTGGGAAGTAAAGCTCTCCTCAGCAAATGTAAAAGAACAGAAATTATAACAAACTGTCTCTCAGACCACAGTGCAATCAAACTAGAACTCAGGATTAAGAATCTCACTCAAAACCGCTCAACTACATGGAAACTGAACAACCTGCTCCTGAATGACTACTGGGTACATAACGAAATGAAGGCAGAAATAAAGATGTTCTTTGAAACCAATGAGAACAAAGACACAACATACCAGAATCTCTGGGACGCATTCAAAGCAGTGTGTAGAGGGAAATTTATAGCACTAAATGCCCACAAGAGAAAGCAGGAAAGATCCAAAATTGACACCCTAACATCACAATTAAAAGAACTAGAAAAGCAAGAGTAAACACATTCAAAAGCTAGCAGAAGGCAAGAAATAACTAAAATCAGACCAGAACTGAAGGAAATAGAGACACAAAAAACCCTTCAAAAAATTAATGAATCCAGGAGCTGGTTTTTTGAAAGGATCAACAAAATTGATAGACCGCTAGCAAGACTAATAAAGAAAAAAGAGAAGAATCAAATCGATGCAATAAAAAATGATAAAGGGGATATCACCACCGATCCCACAGAAATAAAAACTACCATCAGAGAATACTACAAACACCTCTACGCAAATAAACTGGAAAATCTAGAAGAAATGGATAAATTCCTGGACAAATATACTCTCCCAAGACTAAACCAGGAAGAAGTTGAATCTCTGAATAGACCAATAACAGGAGCTGAAATTGTGGCAATAATCAATAGCTTACCAACCAAAAAGAGTCCAGGACCAGATGGATTCACAGCCGAATTCTACCAGAGGTACAAGGAGGAACTGGTACCGTTCCTTCTGAAACTATTCCAATCAATAGAAAAAGAGGGAATCCTCCCTAACTCATTTTATGAGGCCAGCATCATTCTGATACCAAAGCCGGGCAGAGACAACCAAAAAAGAGAATTTTAGACCAATATCCTTGATGAACATTGATGCAAAAATCCTCAATAAAATATTGGCAAAACGAATCCAGCAGCACATCAAAAAGCTTATCCACCATGATCAAGTGGGCTTCATCCCTGGGATACAAGGCTGGTTCAATCTACGCAAACCAATAAATGTAATCCAGCATATAAACAGAGCCAAAGACAAAAACCACATGATTATCTCAATAGATGCAGAAAAGGCCTTTGACAAAATTCAACAACCCTTCATGCTAAAATCTCTCAATAAATTAGGTATTGATGGGATGTATTTCAAAATAATAAGAGCTATCTATGACAAACCCACAGCCAATATCATACTGAATGGGCAAAAACTGGAAGCATTACCTTGAAAACTGGCACAAGACAGGGATGCCCTCTCTCACCACTCCTATTCAATATAGTGTTGGAAGTTCTGGCCAGAGCAATCAGGCAGGAGAAGGAAATAAAGGGTATTCAATTAGGAAAAGAGGAAGTCAAATTGTCCCTGTTTGCAGACGACATGATTGTATATCTAGAAAACCCCATCGTCTCAGCCCAAAATCTCCTTAAGCTGATAAGCAACTTCAGCAAAGTCTCAGGATACAAAATCAATGTACAAAAATCACAAGCATTCTTATACACCAACAACAGACAAACAGAGAGTCAAATCATGAGTGAACTCCCATTCACAATTGCTTCAAAGAGAATAAAATACCTAGGAATCCAACTTACAAGGGATGTGAAGGACCTCTTCAAGGAGAACTACAAACCACTGCTCAAGGAAATAAAAGAGGATACAAACAAATGGAAGAACATTCCATGCTCATGGGTAGGAAGAATCAATATCGTGAAAATGGCCATGCCATCCCCATCAAGCTACCAATGACTTTCTTCACAGAATTGGAAAAAACTACTTTAAAGTTCATATGGAACCAAAAAAGAGCCCGCATCGCCAAGTGAATCCTAAGCCAAAAGAACAAAGCTGGAGGCATCACACTACCTGACTTCAAACTATACTACAAGGCTACAGTAACCAAAACAGCATGGTACTGGTACCAAAACAGAGATATAGATCAATGGAACAGAACAGAGCCCTCAGAAATAACGCTGCATATCTACAACTATCTGATCTTTGACAAACCTGAGAAAAACAAGCCATGGGGAAAGGATTCCCTATTTAATAAATGGTGCTGGGAAAACTGGCTAGCCATATGTAGAAAGCTGAAACTGGATCCCTTCCTTACACCTTATACGAAAATCAATTCAAGATGGATTAAAGACTTAAACGTTAGACCTAAAACCATAAAAACCCTAGAAGAAAACCTAGGCATTACCATTCAGGACATAGGCATGGGCAAGGACTTCATGTCTAAAACACCAAAAGCAATGGCAAGAAAAGACAAAATTGACAAATGGGATCTAATTAAACTAAAGAGCTTCTGCACAGCAAAAGAAACTACCATCAGAGTGAACAGGCAACCTACAAAATGGGAGAAAATTTTCACAACCTACTCATCTGACAAAGGGCTAATATCCAGAATCTACAATGAACTCAAACAAATTTACAAGAAAAAAACAAACAACCCCATCAAAAAGTGGGCAAAGGACATGAACAGACACTTCTCAAAAGAAGACATTTATGCAGCCAAAAAACACATGAAAAAATGCTCATCGTCACTGGCCATCAGAGAAATGCAAATCAAAACCACAATGAGATACCATCTCACACCAGTTAGAATGGCAATCATTAAAAAGTCAGGAAACAACAGGTGCTGGAGAGGATGTGGAGAAATAGGAACAGTTTTACACTGTTGGTGGGACTGTAAACTAGTTCAACCATTGTGGAAGTCAGTGTGGCGATTCCTCAGGGATCTAGAACTAGAAATACCATTTGACTCAGCCGTCCCATTACTGGGTATATACCCAAAGGACTATAAATCATGCTGCTATATAGACACATGCACACATATGTTTATTGCGGCATTATTCACAATAGCAAAGACTTGGAACCAACCCAAATGTCCAACAATGATAGACTGGATTAAGAAAATGTGGCACATATACACCATGGAATACTATGCAGCCATAAAAAATGATGAGTTCATGTCCTTTGTAGGGACATGGCTGAAATTGGAAATCATCATTCTCAGTAAACTATCGCAAGAACAAAAAACCAAACACCGCGTATTCTCACTCATAGGTGGGAATTGAGCAATGAGATCACATGGACACAGGAAGGGGAATATCACACTCTGGGGACTGTTGTGGGGTGGGGGGAGGGGGGAAGGATAGCATCGGGAGATATACCTAATGCTAGATGACGAGTTAGTGGGTGCAGCGCACCAGCATGGCACATGTATACATATGTAACTAACCTGCACATTGTGCACATATACCCTAAAACTTAAAGTATAATTAAAAAAAAAAAGAAGCTACATCATTTCTATTTTTGTAACTCCCATTGGCTAACACACAATAAGCAATCAATCAATAAATATTGCTAAAATTTAATAGAACAAAGGAAGTAGTTTGGGTACCATTACGTACCACCATACAGATTTAACAAACTATGAACAGAATAAATAAAAGCAATAAAATCCAGCTTCAATTCAAAATGTTGCTCTTCTTCCCAAGAGAACAAACATCTATTTCATCTGTTTAATCTCAGGGACATGACACTTACTGTATACACAGAATTGTGATAGGATCTCTAGTGAGACAGCTATGTTCCTAAGAACAAGAACATGGCTAAAATGAGGGTAGACTGGAGAGGAAGTGGTGATAGGTTTCCAGTAGGAACTCAGATAAAAGAGTGACAGTCAGAACTTCAGAAAAGTGACCTAAAATGTACCGTCACAGAGAAGGTGGTGCCAGTTCAGTATTGGAATACCACTTCTGCTCTGTTCTGCATAAAATTATTATAATGGTCTATGGTGTGTAATAGAGGTATTCTTATAAATGAAGAATAAATACTGGTTAATACTGCATTTGAATACAAGGAACAGAAACCCAAATTAATGTGACTTATAAACAAATGTGTCTACTTCTCACAAAGCGAGAATTCCGGGGATGTGCCTGCAGCTACCAGCTTTGGAATTTCAAAACAGATGGCTTTGCAGCTCTCTTGTCCTTTCCATCACCGTTGCAAGATAGGGCAGCCTATATTGATGTCATGTTGTTAATTAATATTCACAGTAGGAAGTAGGAGGAATGGGGAAAGAGGTTGGAGGTGATTTGCCTAATTTTTGTTGATTTAGTCAGCAAACCAATGTTTTGTAGCCCTATCACCATCATTACCACCAGTACCTCCCTCAGTGGATGCCTCGGGAATGTGTACTTAGCTTGGCAGGAGCTCTGTTTGGGTATCAGAAACAAGGGGATTGGGAATGGATGTTGGGGCAGCCAACCACGGAGTCTTCAACTGGACTCAAATAAGGTTTTCCTTGCTAAGCCACTCTGGGGGTCGACTTGGGCACATGGTTCAGTTTGATTCTTAGAAAAGAAAATGACAGTCAGTGTTATTCATTGATTATAATCTTAGTTTTGCAAAATTCTACTTACCTAAAGAGGTACTAGACTATTACTCCCAAATACACTAATGCTGTAAGTTATGTAAACACATTTTAAATATGATGAATAGATGTTCAGGAAATGTATAGTAGCATGTTATACTACAAAGAATGTAAAAGCCCAGAGAAAAAGAATTTTATACTAAATCTTATAAAGTCCTTCAATCTTCATGCATCTCATGAATGTGCTCCCCAGTGGGTCTCCTTTCTCTGTGATTCTGCACAAGCTACTCCCTCGGCCAGGAGTTCCCTGCTTCCTCTTTCCTATTCAAAGAAAGTTATTCTTCATAGGAATCACAGAATATCTTGTGATACACTTGTTTTATTTATTATTGCTGAAAACATCATATTCTACTGAATTTAGTATACTTTCCTCTCTTCTGAATAGGTAGAGACTAACTTCAATTCATAATCAAATCCTCAGAACCATGCAAATTACTCAGTGCACAGAGGAATCTATGGTTATTTGGGTCAATGCAGGAATGAATGAGTGATGAATGAAAGAGCAAATTAAAGTAAAACTAAACATGTGCTCATTGAAATCTGCTGCTGCAAGTTGGTCAAGAAGAACTGATCCCATAGGGCTCACACACATGTGAGAATGCTCTTACAGGAACTAGGAGTGACTGATGAGTAGACGTTTGTGTGCAGGCATATGGCCATTGTTTGTCAGTTACCTTTCGGATTAGAATCCCACACAAGCCTTCCTGAGATCCTTCATTAGAAAATATACAGAAAACATACATACTACTTTTGGTGTATTACTGTATAAAAATAGACATTTATTTAATGGTGTGTGCTTCTCTTCTATTTATCTTACAGATGTAATTTGCAGTGAATAATAACCTGGATATAGAACAGGAGGAAGCATCTCCGAAGGCAGAGGCAGACAGGCAGTTTGGACAGGACGTGCAAATTGTTCCTTACACCACACCAAACTGCAAACTGCAATGCTTTTTTTTTTTTTTTTTTTTTAAGACAGAGTCTCACTGTGTTGCCCAGGCTGGAATGTAGTGGCACAATCTTGACTCACTGCAACCCCTGCCTCCTGGGTTCAAGAGATTCTCATGCTTCAGCCTCCCAAGTAGCTGGAATTACAAGCGTCTGCCACCACGCTGGGATAATTTTGGTATTTTTAATAGAGACAGGATTTCATCATGTTGGCCAGGCTGGTCTCGAACTCCTGACTTCAGATGATCCACCTACCTTGGCCTCCCAAAGAGCTGGGATTACAGGCGTGATCCACTGTGCCCAGACTACGGCAATGCATTTTTGGTGCAGGTCACCCTCGAGTGCTTTTTGGTGTGAGCAGCACATGGACAAAGCTGCCGAAGGGCAGGAGTCCCTGGGTTTCTCTTGGGGGCCGGTTGCTCTCGGAAGTTCCTCTCCTTCACTCTCTAAATAGCTGGTTTGTCCAACATTCCTGTTTGAAAAACATCCAGTGAACTATGACTTTGAACAAGAAACATTACACTTCAGTCCCATCAGTCTAAGAAGTAGTGAAGAATTAAATCTTTCCACCTACAGGGTATGTGAGGTGGTCAGGAAGATAATGAGGATAATTCTCAAACAACTTTTCTGCCTTCGAATTGCCCGAGGAAGTCATTTTTTCTCATTTCTGCCTCTTTCTAGTTTTTTTCTCATGAGATAAGTGTGACAAGATGGACTCATGAATAGGAGAAGCTGAGAGTCATTTATTGCCTCAAGTCTCTGGACTGTTTTAAGAAATGAGAAACCAACTTCACTTAAAAACTAATACAAGTCTAAACATTCTCAGATCTTTTTAGTAACTATGTAAATTTTAAGTCGATTGGTTTATGTACTGGACTGACTCATTTTTTAAGGGGGAGGAAAAGGTTCAGGTGCAGAAGTCCTGGCTTCTACCATGCCAATGGGGACTAGCACCAGCAGTAAATAAGGGAGTGTTATGTGACCTAATGCCAGCAGGTAACCTTCATTTGCTGTTGCTAGACTATTTAACATATTCTAATTTATATCTGTAATTTACTTCGGCTTCGCTCTAGAGAGTTTTTGGCTCCTCATTAGTCCTGGAGTGACTGAAGCAATATACATGTTCCCTGAAGAAGGGTCCTACCTAGTTCTTTTCCATCACTCTATCTCCTTGGCTATCTTCTGTCTACAGTACCCTGTTTCTGTGGCTCCTTTACAAACTTTCTCTTAAGTTAAAATCTCCTATGTACTTAAACACAATTACCACATCCCTCCCTTCCATCCAGAAATTGCTTTATGAACTAATGAGCACACTAAAAATTGCAGGCAAATGACTAGCTATAGGAAGCAGCTCAAAATATTTTAATTATTCTTGGTTATAATAAAATCAACATTCATTGACACCTTACTTGTTTCCAACCATCAGATATTTGTTATCTCATTTTATTTTCACACCTGAATGAAGTAGGGCACATATTCCACACTCCATAGATGGAAAAGATGAGGCAGTTGCTACCTGGAAAATGAAAGGATTGGATTTTATTTTCTATCAGTACCCAAGGGATTTCTAATCCAAGATCAAATTCTAAATATAGAAATTTACAAAATAAATCTTCTGCTAGAATATATAATTCTAAATATAAAATACTGTGGAATGTTGGAGCTTGACATCTTACCTGTCTCCTAACTAAAAGAAAAAAAATGTAGAAGAAACAAGAGAGAAAATATAGGGATAAGTGGTTCGCCCACAGCCAGTTAGGTAGAAACCAGAGTCTAAATTCTGAGCTGCTCATCTCTCAGATTTTTTGCAACTGAAGAGTCTGGAAATTTTATGGCCAATTTCATTCATCTTCTGAATGTATCTTTAGCTTTATGGTTGGTCTGAGGAGCAGTCTCTTTGGGTAATTCGTACCTGGGCCAGGGTGCAGAAGTTCAGGGCTGCTGTGCCCCTCGTGAATGAACCTCACACAGCTGAAGCTTAAAATCCTGAAGAGAGAGCTCCCGTGAGTCCTGCCTCTGTCTTTCTCACTCATCCCCTTTGCTGGCCTTGAAACAGATTTAAAGAGCCCTTATGTTGACTGAAATAGGATAGGAAACGGCCAGCCACTTGACCTGAGAAAGAATACCACACTAATAGAAGCTGACTCCTCTGCACAAACATTATTTCTCTATGTGATATGGTTTAGCAGAGTTTGTCTCCAGTGTCTAAATGGACCCTGAATGTAATGCTGGTGTGTGTGTGTGTGTGTGTATGTGTGTGTGTGTATGTGTGTTGGGGGTGGGGTCAAGGGAAGAGAGAGAAAAAAAAAGTTTCTGTATTCCTGTTCTCTGGATGGATTTTTTAAAATTTGCTCTTTGGGAATGAGGAAAAACAATCCCACAACAGTAATACTCCTTGGGCTCCATAACTATAAATGCAAAGGATTTCACCAGTGTCTTTATTAGTCATTATTCCCCGCTGTGACAAAACCTCTCTGTCTACCTCCAGCAGAAAACGCATTTATCAAAGGCTGTTAAAAGGCATTAGGTGTACAGATTTGTTGCCTCTAGGTTCAGCCTTGGAAGCCCAAATGCTCTCTCCTCAGCCTCCACTCCCACCCCAATGGCCTCATTGCTGTGGCTGAAAGCTAAAAGCCAGGGCTCTACCTGGCTGCAGCCACACCACCAGTGTCTACGCCACCTCTGCACCAGAAACTTAAAATCACAACCTACTGGCAATCCACCTTGCCCCAGCCCTGCCACTATTTCTGGATACTCCCAAGTTTGTCCCAACAGAAGAGGCGGAAACTTCCCCAAATGGTTCTCACAGCTGGCTGAGCATGGGAATCACCCATCCAGTTCTCTAGCCGGGGGTCCTGTCTCCTCAGGGTCTCTGATCATTAGTCAGATTTGGAACCACTGCACAGGTGCTACCCTTGAGGTTCCTTGCAGCGATGAAAATCATCTGGGCTGCCAGAAAACCAGGAGCTAACACCGATCTCCAATTCCATGGCTCCTGTGAAGCATGGCTCATATTAGCATTCATTTTTAAGGTAAAGGAGCTGTGAAACAGTTCAGTTGGAAAAAAGACCCATGTAGCAATCACTGCAGAGCCCCTGCTGCTCTACTTCCTGCAAAGCTGAACATGCATGCTTAAAAAACAGGAAGGACTGGTCAGGCATGAAGACACTGCAGAAATCTGAGCAACACAGAAACAGGTTCTGACTTCTGCCCAGAGAACCTACACTCCAGAATGTCTTTATTTGGCTGTATGTGTAAATTGAACCCATCATTGAGAGTCTAAATGTTTTAAAAGAAAGTAAGATGGGAAAAGGAAAATTACTTGATTCTTCAGTGCAATTATTTTAAATTTAGTAATTCCCATTCAGGCAAACATTCTGCATGCCCAGGTGAAAGATGTGTGTGTCTGTCCGATCCCTCACTTGTTCATCTTTCTATACGAAACCGGACATTTGTATGTACTCATGATGAACAAAATACAAGTTTTACAGTAGTTTAATATAAGGAAGCTTTGACAAAAATAATTATGTTGATGCTGGCATTATTTATACTTTCCTTCTTCCCTGTCCCCCGACAATTGTCTAAATGGTGAAAGCTAAAAGTAAGGAGATTTAGAAAATACAAAAACCATTAGAGATAATGACACAAACAAGCGAGAAAGAGAGAAAAATGTCACATCAAATCTTTTCACCTAAAATCAAGACAAGTAACATTTAGACAAATATCTTATTTTTAATTATATATGAGCAAATATGTGTGTCATAAAGTGCTATATACATTGCTGTATTAACATTGTATTATAGTTATTTTCCACACCATTAAGTATTTTTTAATCGACAACATTTTAGGCAATTGCACTATTCGTTTATATGGATATACCATTGTTACTTTATCGAGACATATGGGTCACAGCTTGTGGGGGTTTCCTGTTTGGGCTGGTAAGCTTCTTATGTCTAAGTACTTGCACAAGAATCATGACTTTAACAAATAGACTTACTGAAGCTAAAATCAGGAGGTTTTAAAAATTCCTGCTAATTATTAACAAATGAGAGTCAGAGGAAGATGCAGTAATACATATCCAGTAGAAACAGCTATAGCCCAAATGCTTGCGGGCCGTCATCACTACCATCTCACTCAATTAAAACTAAAGAAGAAAACCTGTAACTTTGCATCAGTTAGTACTGATGTAATCCTAGCATTGGTACATCTTTTATGCTTATTACAAAATACTATGAACTTGCTTATTAGTCATCTATGAATATCATTTTGTCATTGTATTGTATTTTATTGATCTTATCTTTACATTCATTGTATGTTATTTATAATTTTGATCTATTTACCAATTAATTTATCAGTCACAGTTGCAGCAATACATTCGAGTGTTCATTTAGAAATCTAAATGTCTCCTTTGCTGCTACTATAACATGATATCATCTCTTGATTTTAGGCTTAGAAAATCTCACCCTGCTCACACACATTTAAAAGAAAAACATGAAATATTGCGCGCACACACATTTCAAAAGCACAATATTAAAACAAGCGTCCTATGTGCTCTACACAGCTGAGGAAACGGAATCATATTAGTAGTATCGACCAATCACATCCATCATTCTGCTCCAACAGCTAAACCATTATAATCAATTTTCTGCTTAGGATTCTCTTAATATTAGCTTCGGTTGTAAAATATATGCATAATTCTCTAGACAATATGTTGGTTTATTTTGCTCATTTAAAACATTTATGTATATGAATCCTCTTCAGTTTTTCATGCCTTTGTTTTCCAAATATGATACATTTTAGTTTCACTTATGTTTATGTATATGGTTGTGGTTTTTACATTTTCATTGCTATATACGTCATTTTACATATGTATAGCGCAGTTTAATTATATATTCTAATGTTGAGGAATACTTTATTCTTTTCAATATGTTTCTATTATAAAACATGTTGCTATAAACACTGTATCAACCAGGAGAGAAACATTGCCAGTAGTGTGAACATTTCATGTGAAGAATTGTTAACTAGTAAGACCTACTCTTAACTACTATAAGGAATGAAAGAGCGTGCTAAGGAGTACAAAAGTAGCAAACACAGAAAGCAGCAACTACCTCAGAGGACGAGGAACAAGGAAGAACCAGGCTGAGACCCCCGCCTCTTTGGAGAAGGCTTTACTGCGCAGGAGCAGTACCTGCTGGGAGAAGGGACTTGCTGGAAGACGTGGGTAGAGCCGGTCCATTGGTCCAGTGCACCAAGAAGTCAAGAAGTTTTCAGGGGCTCAGGATGCAGCTGGCCCATCAGAGTCACAGAGATTAATGCTACTGAGCCTCTTGCACACCAACTTGCTGGCTGCCATGCTACAAGCAGCACAAAAGCACCAAAAAAAGGGAGCACCTCTCCCCTGCGACTGTTTTACAGTGCCCCACCTAGCTCTGTCTAGAGACAGAGCCTCACTTTGAGACAGCAGCTAGAGAACTGTTCACAGGGCCCATCTCCATATCACAAAGCAGGGTCAAGAATGGCGGTCTCAGAGCTGGGTGGCAATAACTCATAACAGACGCAAATCTCTTCATGTTAATCTAGTGCTCCTAAACAGGAGGTTCCAGGACACATGCCTGGGAGAAGAGGTACTTGGTCAAAGCATGTGTGCATGTCATCATTTTTAAGAAATGCTAAATTACTGTCCAAAATTATTTTACCATTTTATATTACCATATGTGAAATGCTAAATCACTGTGGCTTTAATTTTCATGTTTATGATGACTAAGGTCCCGTTTATTTTCATGTTTTTATGGACATTTCTATTTTCCCTTCTGTACAATGATGGCTTATGTTTTTTGCTCATTTTCCTAATGTGTGTGTGTGTGTGCACGCGTGTGCACGTTTGTCCTTTTTAATTGGTTTTATCAGTTTTTTATGTAACATGTTTATATATTATGAACTCTTTTGGGTTATATGTTTTGCAAATATCTTCTCCCAGTGGTTAATGTCTTCATGGTGCCTTTTGTTTAATATAATTTATTAATTTTATGTAAACCAAGTTAACAATATTTGTTTTCCTTTTAGTTTGGGCATCACAGACTTGTTTATGAACTCCTTTATTTGGGAAACTAAATATTCTGCCACTTTTTCCTACCATTTTTTAAATTTTTGACTTTGCATTCAAATCTGTAATCCATGTGGGTTTAATTTTTTTGGGAGATAGGTACATAGAATAAGTATATATTTTACTTTACAAAATAAATATGAATTAGTTGCTCTAGCACCATTTATTGAAGACGGTTTTGTACTGGCTTATGTACAATAAAACTAGTTTTTTCATAAATACAGGTTTTTATTATTTTAGGGCCATTTATTCTGTTTCTTTCTGTTCTGATCTATTTATATCAGTCAGTACCAGCCTATACCATCCTAAATATTGTAGATTTATATTAACTAATAATGTCAGGAAGAATGATTCTCTCCATCTGCTCCTTTCTCAACAATATACTGGCAATTTTTGAAATTCTATATAATTTGAGAATGTACTTGTCAAATTCCATGAAAAACTGAATTCTTGAAACAAGGTTTGGGAAGAGTTGAAGTTTTTACAAGGAGTCCTTCAATCCATGAATCTAATACATTTCTACATTGATTTGAGTCTTACTTAATTACTTTGAATAAAGGCTCATTTTTTTTCCAAAAGGTTTGAATCTACTGGTGGCATCCTTCTGCTTGTGCATGCTTTCGTATTTTAACAGTGGTATTTTCTAAATGCTGTAGTCCATGTGTGGAAACGCAGCTGATTTTTCATGAGGATTTCATAACTAGTCTGATTGTGGTGTAAAAGCTAAAACCAGGGCCATCTGGGGAAACCAGGAGGGCCTCCCCTGGCCTGACCGCAAGTCCCTCGCCTCAGTTTGCTTCAGTGGTTCCGCCCCCTACTCAAGCCACTCTTCTCACAAATAGGGTCAGGTTTGCGCCCTGCTTGCCCCTGTATAGAGGGCTTCAGCTCTCTGCCAGCCTGCAGAATTATTCAAAAAAATCCAGTCATGACATCCCATGGGAACCAGGGCACCACGCCCTCTTATTACTGTAAAGCGGCCTCCCATGGCCCTGCTGCTCCTGCTGTTTCCACGTGCAGCCCCTGTGGCTTCACATAGCGTGAGGTCTTCCACTCCTGGGCTGTCTGCTGATTTTTTTCTTTTGCTGTGCAGAAGCTTTTGGTTTAATTAGGTCTCATTTATTTATTTTTGTTTTTGTTGCATTTGCTTTTGGGGTCTTAGTCATAAGTTCTTTGCCTAGGCCAATGTCCAGGAGGGTTTTTTTCTAGGTTTTCTTCTAGAATTTGTATGGTTTCAGGCCTTAGATGTAAGTGCTTAATCCATCTTGGGTTAATTTTCATATGTGGTGAAAGGAATCCAGTTTCATTCTTCTACATGTGCCTATCCAATTTTCCCAGAACCATTTCTTGAACAGGGTGTTCTTTCCCCAGTTAAAAAAACAAAACAAAACAACAACAACAAAAACAAACAAAAAACCTTGTGTTTTCTAAAATGCAGATCTCTGATCCAAAACACATTGAAGAAAAATAGAGATGTCCTCTCCAAATTTTCTAACATAGTTGCTTTCCATCCTAAAATGGCTGTATTGCTCAAATCCAGAGGCATTTCCTAGATTTTTTGTCCATCTCTAAACAAAGTGTCTTTCAGGGGCCATATTGTCTTCCTGACACCTTGGAGTCAGACAAAGATGAACAGTGCCTCCATGTTTGGTAGCTCTCACTACATTTTTGATGTTTGATGACTGACAGCTTCTAAGTCTCACCCCCCTCTCCCCTTTGTGTCCCACAACTGGGCAAGTTGATAAGAAAACTTCGGTGTTCCTTTCTTTGATGCCAGCAGAAAATTCAAGCAACACAAGCCCCTTCACATACATGGGAAGCCCATGGCCTCAGGCAATGAACACAGTGGCCTCAGGCTTGAACCACCGTAAAACCCCAAGCCAGGGTCTTTCCCATTCTTTCAAACCATTTTTAGACAAGCTTGGGAGACATCTCCTGCTCTCCCCTGGAAACCTCGCTTGTAAGTAACACATCTTTTCCCACCCTCTGTTGTGTGTGTAGCATCATCAGCCTCCACATCTGAACCAAGGTATGGGTGGTGGTGGTGGTGGAGTCTTTCCTTTTTTTGGCAGGGTGGCAATAATACACGGGAATTGCTGTGTCTAATTGTAAATGCCTGTTTAACTTTTAAAGAAATTGCCTGTGTTTCAAGTGGCGATGCCAATTCCATCCCCACAGTCAATATATGAGAGTCCCAATTTTGTCTTGCCAACCCCTATTGTCTTTTTTATTGTGGCCACTCTGTGGGAAAATTGTGGTATCACATTCTGGTTTTCATTTGCATTTTCCTAATAGCTCATGATGCCAGGGTCCTCATTAGGTGCTTATTAAGTGTTTGTATGGTTTTTTTTTTTGGTTTATTTATTTTTATTAGTTTTTTTTTTGTTTCTTTGTTTTTTTGTTTTTGGTGAAGTTTCTTTTAAATCTTTGGCTCATTAAAAAAAGTGCTGTTTTTCTTATTATTGAGTTGAAAGGTTCTTCATATTTTCTGGAGCAAAGCCCTTTATCAGGTTTATGATTTTTAAGTATTTGCTTTGAGTCTTTGGCTTGACTTTTATTTTCATAGGAGTATATTTTGAAATGTAAACATTTTCACTTTTAATAATGTCAAATTCATCAATGTTTTGCTTGTATGGTTGGTACTTTTACTTCATGCCTGGGAACTCTTTGCCTAAACATAAAAAAAAATCCTATATTTCCTTCTGGAAATTTTATACTGTAAGCTCTTCCATTTAGTTCTATAATTTAAGTCAATTTTTGTAAATGATGTGAGGCAAGCATCTAATGTTATTCCTAATGCATTTTTTATTATGGTAGAAAACACAAAACATAAAATTTATTATGTTAGTCACTTTTAGCTGTACAGTTCAATAGTGTTAAGTATATTCACATTGTTGGAAAACAGAGCTCCAGAACCTTTTCATTTGCAAAACTGAAACTCCATACCGGTTCAAAAACAACTCCTCCTTTCCTTCCCCACACAGCCCCTGGTAACCATCATTCTACTTTATCTTTTTATATGTTTTACTATTGTATGCACCTCATGTAAGTGGAATAGTATAGTGTGTATCCTTTTGAGTCTGGCTTATTTCCATTAGTACCATGTCTTCAAGATTCATCCATGTTGAAGCATGCTTCAGACTTTCCTTCCTTTTAAGGCTGAAGAACATTCCATTTTAAAGGGTCCAATTTCATTTTTAACTTTACTTTTGCATATATATATAATTGACTCCTCACAGCTTTTTGAAAAGACTATTTTGTCCCCATTGAATTTTTTTCACAAATTGTGGGCAATCATATTTTACTGTGAATGGAAAACTTTATTTCCCAATTGTCTCTCATTTTGACCTGTACCACAAAGTCTTGATTGGCATTTACTTCCTGATTATGTCACACTTGGGGATACAGTTTTCTGGAAACTGTATTATGGTACAATATTTTGCAAAACATGTCCCCAACTGTTGTTTCTATGCATATTTCTCTATGAATGGAAGAGAAGGAAAAAAAAAAGCGAGCCCTAGGCCACTAGAGATCAGTATGAGTGCTCAGGAGAAATTCTGGTTGTGGAGTTAGCCTTCTTGCTCTGTGGTTTCCAACAGTTTTTCTCGTTTTAACACATTCCACCATTTTTTTTAAATGGTGCTTTTCCCTGTAACCAATGTTTTAGTTTTCTGCACATTTAATCTACCAGACACTAGACATGAGAATTTTTTTCTCTAATACTTAAATTTTTGTAAAATGTATTTTGTCTCTACTATGAAATAAATATGTAAATATATATTTTCCAAAATGCTAACCAACATTAAATTACTTGAAACATTTGATCTTACAGTCTATTTTTATTATATTAAGTTCTTACATATCAAGGCCTATTTTGGGGTTGTTTTTGGTGTGTATTCTCTATAAATCCAGTCTTATGGTTGTGCTAGTCTTATTTAACTTTGCACTTTTCTGACTTTTTTGAATACCAGATGAAGCTTACCCCTTTAGCTTTTTTCAACTATTTTTTTTTTAGTTTAGATTTTAAAGTAGTTTTCTCTAATTCCTATGGTATATCCAAAAGCCATATTACTCTAATAATAAAATTTAAGAACACATTGACAAAATTCTAATAACCAAAGTTAAGAACAAATTAACGCATTGAACTTTCTTCCACACATATTGCATTTTACTTCATCTGCTCTGCTCAATACTTTGAATTAATTGACTTTTTTTCTTTATTTAATCATAAATTGTACTTTGACATTTTCTTGATGTCCCTATAGAGCCATTTAATAGTATTTTGGGAAAGGCATATCAAGCTGTGTTACTTCAGTCTCTCATGTCCCTCACTGGCATATTAAAATTATGTTCTGCGCTACTGGATGACTTATTTCCTAAATCCCAGACTCTTTATCTTATTCATATTTATATCCCTGTCAGAGATCTCTGTCCAGCTCACAATTCTTGTTTGTAATATTGAATTACAGCAAAGTCTGAGATAGCTACAAAACTCGGACTGATATGAGCAGAGCACAAGAGCCTTTCTGGAAGTGGCAACCTATGAGCTGAGTTCCGAAGGGTGAGTAGGAGTTGGCCACACACAGAGAGTACGGCGCAAGCACTCTTGGGAGACAGAACAGCATGGTCAAAGCCGAGGAACCTCTTTCAAGATTCTTGGACATTAGGGTACAGTAAGAACAGTAAAAGAACAGGTTAAAAAGCAGGTCTTGATGGACCCTTAGGTCATGCTGAGAAGTTTAGACTCATCTGAAGTCAGTAAGATGTCTCCACAAATTTTAAAGAGGCATGAAATGGTCATATTTCATTTAAAATATTATTTTTTCCACAGTATTGTGAATGAATTAGAAAGACTCAAATAGAAACAGAGGCAGAGAAATAATTTTCACAGCTGTTACCATAATTCAGACATGGTGATTAATGAGTTTTATATTTTAATTGAATAAAATGATAGATATACTTGTAATGAGAGCCAAATCATTGCCACTGTTTTCAAAAACTGTGATCCCCATGGTTGATGCCAACCACAGCATTCTGACGAGCCATTGCTCCTGAATAGATTGTCACATTAACACGTCTTATGTGGTCCAGGCCATGGTTCTGAGCAAATAGGAAACAGGCTGAATCAAATTGTAATTGCAGGGGTGAGATAAAGATTTTTATCTTCCTGACAGCAAGGTGAAAGCCATGTCAATCCTTGTGTAAACAAATGATCATACTGTCTGAGCATGCAACCACTTCTGAAAGTGTTTTCATATATGACAAAAATGCATATCTATCTTTAGTTACGGTATTTTTATGAGAGTGAATTTGGTCAGTCTTCATTCCGGGAGAGAAACAACAGAAAACAATGACTGTCTAGGAGGGATTTTCTGATTCTTAGTTCCCTTAGAGATAAGGAAAAAATGGCGCCGGGTGTCAGGTCACTTTGCTAGAGTCATGGAGTAGCCCAGCTTTGAGACTAAAAGCATAGTCACTGCTTTCAGGGGGTTCCTATTTCAAACCACACTTCCCTCATTGCTCAGCAAGTGTGCTGTGTGAGACGAGTTGCTTTTCCTCTGAGCATAGGTATAACAATGCCGTTATCAAAAGGCTGTCTGTAAGATTACAGAGAATGTTGTAGCAATCACTTACAACACAGTCTGGTATACGGTGAGTGCTAAATACATGATCACTGTTATAGTTTTAAACATGGCTAGAGAGTTTTCTGTTGGAATGAGAACGTGGGTTTGACGTACATTAAGGCTGTTCTTATTTCACTGTATTGATCATCTCTTTCCTAGAAGCTACAGTGATTTTAAAGGTGCACTGATTTATTTTTCTTCCTGCATTAACTGATTTGATCATAGTTAGAGTAAGCTTTATCTGGTAGATTTTAATAAAATCTTATAGTGTTGTCTGATAAAAATATATTATTGTGTGACGTGTATACCTTGCAGTCAGGATGAGTAAAGTATATATTTTCTTCTCTTTCCTTTGGGATACGTTTATCCTTTAAGTATGAAAATTGCACAACATTTGGCCCTAAAATCATGCATCATGAAGGATTTAGTAGGAAAATAAATTTGGACAAGTTTATTACTATGGAATCTAAAAAGATCATGTTGTTTTTTTCCCCATTCACTCCCCAACCTGATTTACATTTCATACATGCTACAAAAAAAATGTATTTTCATTGGTTCATCTATCTATTCACCCATTCACTTATTTATCCATCCATTCATTCAACCCTTTATTTGACAATCATTAAGTGAGAGCATATCATACATACAAACAAGAAATATAATCCAGAAATTAAAAATAATACCTCCTTTTAGGGGTTGGGAAAGAGATCTATCCACCCAACATTTTAATAAAGTCATACATGTTCTTTGATGGAAGTCTTTGCAGTTACCAATCTCTGGGGTAGGAGAAGCAGAGATGGGTGTTGACTAGGCAACCATAAACATCAGGTTGGTGAGAAGAGGTAACAAAAGCATTTCTGGAGCAGGTACAAAATACTCCATAATCATCTGGCATATTTGAAGAACTTCAGATGGTTCTAAATAGGTGGAACTTAGGGTATTCATTCCTGGGACTCTCATAATGCTTAGCTAGGCAATTGAATATATCCCGGCAACCAAGCCAATGAAGGGACTTAATTGAAGACTAACCTTTTCAAATTTGAATTTACACAACTAAGGAATTCACTTTGTTTTTTTATAAAGGGGTTATCATTACAGTTTTGATCAGCACTGATGTCCTTATGAGCTGAGCTAATATCCACAAATGTCCATTAGCACAAATCTATTCCTCAGAAGTTCTCTTCAACTCAAATGGTCTCACGAGAGGGGTGATTTCCTGTGAGGGTAAAATGAGTTGTACATCTATTTTCACAAGGAAGATATGTGTTTCTATTTTTAGTAAAAAAGAAAGGCCAAAGCTTATTTCATTACTCTTTTCTTTTTTTTTTTAGACAGAGTCTTACTCTGTTGCTCAGGGTGGAGTGCAGTGGGGAGATCTTGGCTCACTGCAACCTCCACCTTCCAGGTTCAAGCGATTCTCCTGCCTCAGCCTCCCGAGTAGCTGGAACTACAGGCACGTGCTACCACTTTCGACTAATTTTTGTCTTTTCAGTAGAGACGGGGTTTCACCCCATTGGCCAGGCTGGTCTTGAACGCCTGACCTCAGGTGATCCATTTGTCTTGGCCCACCAAAGTTCTGGGATTACATGCATGAGCCATCTCACCCAGGCTATTTCATTACTCTTTTAAACGCAAGTTTTAAATATTTTTAAATGGGAGAAATTACCATGTGTGAAATGTCACCCCAAACTCCCAGTATTCTTATGAGGTATGATCAGCCCTTTTTGATATAAGTAGGTGAGTGAAGTTTAAGTAGTTTGTCCAATTTGGAGAGCTAAGAGTGTGGGATCTGGGTGTTCGGGCTGAGTCTGACGTTAGGGTTGATGGTCTCCAGGCTATGTGGTAAGGTTTTTTTCCACTTTTTCTACTGATCAGAAAATCAAGCACCCTTAAGATTTTTAGATTATGGTTCATATAACAACACAGAGTCTCCCTCTTGGGTTTCCTGTGAAAATGTAAGTTTACAAAGGAGTTTGACCACAGTGGCATCTTGTTTATGTTTTCCCTAATTCAATAGCCCCATTTTCACAAGAAGGCAACTCATAGTTATGTGCAAATCTAATTGACTCTCACTCTTTTAAAGGTGGCTTGAGTTTTTTAAGCTGGGAAAGTAACTGAAAAAGATTTATGTAGCTGCTTAAAACAGCAAATTTTCACATTACGAATTATCTCCCACTTGCTTAGTTTACCAAATAGGAGCTTCAGTCACGTAAAGCCTTGAAGAAATTTATTCGGTAAGCTTGTAAATAAGATTTGTATGGCAAAAATATCACACATTTGGTGCCTAATTGTCCCACTAGACCCTTGGTATCTAGTACACCGTAATGAGCTGGGTTGAACATAGCCACCTGTCTCAGGTTAATGCTCTAAGATTGTGTCACCAGCAGGCAGAAATTAGGTTGGCATCTTCTCCTATGTTGTAATTCTGTTGAGCAGGTTTTGCTGTGGAAGGTTTGATATTCAAAAACAAAGATAAATGTTTTCCTCCTTCTCAGGCAGTACACTTTAGATCTGATGAGAGTCCAAGTGTCTATTAAGCACAAATAATAAATTTTAATGAAGCATAACTTTACCAATTATAGTTTTCTCTCACTTTCTGACACTTTTTTTTAAACATATATAGGCATTGCCCTTAAGAACCTTGAAAATGGCATCTCCTTGGACCAATAATGATAATGCTGTAATGTCCAAGAAAAGAATCCCTTTGTTTATTACACATGACTCGATTCTGAACTTATTAGTTAATTCAACAGAAACTTACTGGGTACCTAGCACATGCCAGGCCCAGACCCACATGCAACAAGCAAAACATATAAAGCCTGTGCCTTTATTGGGCTTACATTTTACTGGGAGAGAGAAGTCAAAAATACACAGAAAATGAACAAACACAGAACTGAAGGCACAATTATTAAAGTAAAATACAAGGTAGACATTTGTGAAATTGATCATTGTGAAAAGCACATGGAATTTTACAATATACAAATTGTGTGTGTGTGTGTGTGTGTGAATAAATCTCCCACCATAAGGAAGGAATTCCGAGAAGCAATATGTTTTACAAGAGCAGGAAAATAAGCCTTTTCTTTGGAAAACGTCACTCTTTAAACCTCATAAAATATTAAAATAACGATATGGCTGATAGTTATTAGGTATGCGTTATGTGCCAATGTTTGTTCCATGTGCTTCACATTTATATATATTGACACAATTGATCCCCACTACAACCTTCAAAGTAAGCGCTTTTATTATCCTCACTTTGTAGCCGAGGAAACCGTGGCAGGGAGGGCTGGATGACGTTCCCAAGTCCACACAGTTCTTTAATGGCAAAACAGCATTCAAGTCCAGGCAGTCTGGCTCCAGAGTCCACACTCTTAACTACCACAGCAGACCATACAGGGTTTCTTTATAGAGGCATTCTTTAGTTTTTCTTACTTAAGAAGACACAAATAAGAAACCAAAAGCCATTCCACCAGAGAAGGCTGTAGGCCCGGATTATTTAGACCAAAATAATCAGAAACCTGTATTTAAAAAAAATCAACAAGGAAACCTGACAGTGCTATTAAGTATATGATGAACAAATAAAAAAAAAATTCTCTGTGTCCAGCCGTGGAGACTTCAATGCTACTCCCGTAAATGTGGTTCTTCTTGAAATGCGTGGCCCTTCCCAACACTTCTTTCTTCCCCCAACGGGATGAAATGCCATCCAAGTGCTGCTGGTTTGGTAGCTCTGCTGACCTAGACTTGGGCCACCTCCCAGATGTTCAAGGCACTGAGGGTGCGCACTGGGCTCTCCTGCAGGGCAAGTCCAGGAGCGGCTTCCAGATATTTTCAGTGAAACTTCGCAGCCTCTGGTATTGTTGCTCACCTTACGTGGTATCAGACGAAACACGGTCCCTAAACCCAATCCTCCCATCTACACACAGGAGCCCACACCACGGGCATTCATACCTTTCCCCATAGGGGTTCCTTTGCTTTGAGCCCCTTTCTCCCGTTTTGCTTCTCTTTTGGCTACCTCCTAAGTATCTGAAAATCATCAACTTATGTATAATTTCCTCCAGGAAGTCTTCTTGACCTTGTGGGTCTTGATCAGTTGTCCCTTTTCTGACCCTCAAAATTTTCTATGAATTCCTCTCTCCTGATCCTGATCATATTTTATTATAGGTATTTGTCCACATGGTTACCTTACATTTGTAAAGTCATTTGTAAAGTCAAGGTGGTAGTCATTCTACTTTGGTCTCTTTAGCACCTAGCATAGTGAGTGCCTAGGGGTTGGGCTGACTTTTCTGCTGATGTTTTAGCAAAGCACACTCCAGTAAAACAAACAAAATAATTTCAAAATTCATCTTTATGTTTGAGAGTGACCCTTTCTCGGAGGTTATATTTGCTTTTCATTTCCCATTTCCATAACCCTGCCAAGGGTAGAATCTTTGAGCATCCTTGAGGAATTGATCATCACTTGATTCAGTATCTGTGTGGAGACATGAGAGCTCTTTCATTCACCAGGCATCATCATGAGCCCTGGGGATCTTTTTGGATCCTACTCAACCCAAAGGTGCAGAGCTGAGATGTCCCCCAAGGGCCTCAATCCTCTGGGGCCTCGTTTTTTCGATAGAATCACCCACATGGTAAGAGGAACAGAACACTTTTTCATCCCCCAGGAAACTCGGGGAGCTTTCCCTCTTTCTTTCATTGCTTGCTTCTGCTAAAGTTATAACTCCCGCTCTGCATTCCATCTCCTGCAAATGTATACTATCTATATACATATTATATATATATGTACATATACACATATTAATTTCTGACACCACTAGTATCAGACATTGAAGTTGTGTGAAATCTTTTACAACTATATATCAATGCTCCATGAGCATTCTATCTGATCATTTACTTCTCTGAACAAATTTGCTTAGCCTGGATTCCTATAAGTAAAATTATTGGATAAAAAGCCGTGAACAGTTAAAATGATAACCTCTTGATGTATATCAGCAACTTTCCTTCCAAAATGCTTAAGAAAATCATTTTAAAAGTCTCTGCATCAGGGCTTGATGACACCTACCTTTGTGCACCTTCAGTACTATGAATAGGATTTTGTTTTGCATAGCTTTGATTAATGGTGGATTAAGTGTTTTTTATACTTATTGACTGTAACATTTTTGGATATTTACTATATGTATCATTTGTCTGTTTTTCTATTGGCATTTTTAAAGAGCTATTTACCTTTTTAAATATTTTTTTCTCTAAATGCTAATGGAAAATATTTCCAGTTTCCTTTTTATTTGGTGTTTGCTTTTATTATTATTATTTAGTGCTTTACTTTTTCTTTTGGAATCTATACATAATTTCCTTTTCTTTTGTGAGCTCACTTGTAATTTTACGCTTGGTCATTGTATCTCGTTCCTGATCTGACTTGCTTAATAAGTCATCAATACATGGCTTGGGTTTGGATTGAAAGAAGCTGGATCCGCTTTAAAGATGTGATATTATTGAGAAATATTTTTATACACCCATCTTGACAATTTAATTATTCATCATTTTTGAGATCTTCTATTCTCACGTTCAATTGTAACACACTGTACTAAATGTGAAAATATAAGGTTGGAATAAAGATTCTGTGAGAAAATTACTGTGCACAGCTTTTAGACAATGCATTTTCAATGTAGGAGAGAGATGAAGGTTTCACAAAGTAAGGATGCCAACTCTGTTTCTGTGTATGTTCCATTTAGATTGAAGCCATAGCAGTTGTTGTGCATTCTAGCCTCCTTAGAGTTTATCAATATTGTGCAGCTGTTGCCTTGCCTAAAGAAAGTGCCAAGAGGAAATAATGAGATCGTACAGAATCCCGATAAGCAAAAACTTGCAAGGCAGAATCAGAGCTAAGAAAATGAAGGAAAAAAAAAAGAAAGAGCCAAAGTTCCAGGAAGTCTTATTTCTTGTTCGTATAACGTTACCCTAAATGTTTTGCCTTAAAATTTTTCTTTGAACAATTGTCCTGTCTGTAATATGCCAAAAACTAAGTCTGTTTCTTTCAAGAGCTGGCACCACACTGATAATTTGTAAGTACAAAGTACGCAACTGCAATTCCTGTTTCACCCTGAACTTGAACTAAAGACGTCTTTGATTGGCATGAATGTGGTGCCAAGCAAGGAGACTCCACTAATACTGAGGGGAAAAAAAACAGACGAGTCTTCTTCATTCTTGAATAAACATACCATTCAATTCACGTAAAGGCAAGTTAATTTCAGAAAGGTTCACTTCTGTTTTCTTGAGATAACAAGATGCAAAGCATTTACTTAAACTCGGATAGTCGATAAAATTCTTCAGACATTATCATCATTGGCTGTGTATCTTTTAAACTTAACATATTCAAATAGAATGCTTTTTTGGTTATTTGTAAAACTCATCTTTGCTTTACCTTTTGAGAACAAGTATGGAATCATTGCTTTTCCCATTTAACATTTGTTAAGTTTGACTGAATCATTGGTAAAACAGTTTCCTTGTGTAAGATAATGAAAATCCTGGACTACTACCTTTAGCTTCTTATTAAAGAATGTTTTCTCTAACCCTCTTTGAAATTAAAACATGCATAAAAATACATTTTACATGTCAACCTGATTTCATATTAGTATATATGTTAATAATTATTTGATAATTATTATTTGATTAGCCAAACGCCATGAGAAAGTCTCAGTAAAGAACATTTTGGAAAAAGCAGTTTCATATCTATACGCATCACACATTTGTATGAAGTATTTCCTGTGGTTAGTAGCATTGCACTCATCAAAACTCATAGAACCTTATGATTTTAAGACATTTTGAGCTCTCTCATAACACTTGTAGATAAAAACAAAAATCATTAAAGCATAATTCATGCCTGAGATGCTAAATAAATACTTGGTTTGGTTTTGACTGTAAAATTATTGAGTAAATGGATTAACAGGACAATGTACTCTAAAGTTTAGAATAGTAATACTAGGTGAAATTGACTAAATGTATAAAAGAGAAAAATAAGATGAATGAAAGCAATATTACTTTAGAAGCAGCTGGTTAAATTATGGAACTGACTTGTACAAAGTGTCATCTTTTCATTTTTCTTCTCTTTGGTTTTCTTTTCCCTTGAGGCTGAACAGTATCAGCAAATCTAACATGATTTTGGAGTATAAGGACTAGCCTTTGCATGACCCAGTCCAAATATACTAGAGAAGTATTTTTGTGGACTCATAGTAAAATGGTACTTTATTCCCACTTCAATACTCTTCTCTAAATTACAGATCCCTTGATACCTGGAAAACTGAAAGAGTCAAATGTCTGGTCAGACTTTGGACTTCTTTTTCTGGTCCCTGGCCATAACAAGCCACAGGCTTACTCCTAATACTACAGAAAAAAAATATTCATTTGAAATATTTTGATTATTTCTTTATATAAAATCAAATTTTACCTTTTTATACACACTGAGGGTATTCTGGGGACATGCGTAACTTTTAACAAGAATATTGTTGATACCAATCACCCTTCCTCTGAGAGTCTCTGTCTGCCACCCAGAATTCTGACTAGAGGTATTATTATTACTAGACATGTCTTTCTTGCATTTTTGGAGCCATATTCTTGAACACATATTTTTATCTGAAGGTATTTCCTGCTTAGAGACAGCCTGGTATGTGAAATAGGATATTTTAAAACTAGAGTGGTACTGGTATTGCAAAATGAATTTTCATGCACAAAAGCAATTGCCATCAAGTCTCCTCTGAAGTCTTTTGAAGTCTCTCCTAAGACATTTAGAACTCTCCCACTCACTTGCCCTGAGGACTTCTAATTTCTGAATGGAAACTCAACTCCTAGAGTGTCGTAATGTAAATTGTACACCATGGGGTTTACGTAAATGCCAACTGAATGAAAAAGAAAGATGACAGAAAATAAGAACAGTTCTAGTTATTTCAATGCTTATTTACTGTCAATTCTACCCTACTTTTAAATGCAGTATCTCAAATACTATCAAAAATGATCAGAAATATGAAAAAAGAAAGATAATGTGGTCCATAGTGAAAAGTCAATAAACTGGTGAATCAGACCCCTAAACAAGCCAGATGTTACAAGAAATCGAAAAAATGAGTGGAGAAATCAGAGACATCAGGAGAGATTTGGAAGCTGCCTAATAGAAACTGCCATCCTACAACTGAAAGACACACCTCTGAAAAACAAGAACAACAACAAAAAACTCAATGGATGCGATTAATAACACATGCGATCCACAGGAGGAAGGATCAGTTACTTTGAGGAAAGATCACTAGACATTATTCTAAATAAAGGAAAGTGAGAACAAATTGAAAATAAATCAATAATACAAAATAAAATAAAACTGAGCATCAGCAGCAGCCTGCAAGTTAATATTGAGTACTCTGATGTTGGAGTCCCAGTAATGAAGGAGAGAGAAAATGGGGTGAAAAATATTTGAGGAATCTTGCCTGCAGTTTTCCAAATTGATTGAAAAATTAGTGAGCCACTGACATGGGAAGCTCCGCACATTTGAGAGAGCATTAACACCACACACACACACACACACACACACACACACTCTTTAGGTATGTCATAATCAAACTGGTGAAGCCTAAATATAAAAATGAATTATTGGCTTCTTGTAATGGTGGACAAGTGAATCTGTCTTGTAGACCATCTGCAAATAGAAATTATAAAAATGATAACTTGTAAACTTCCTAAAGCTGACCAAAGAAAGACGATGGCATATTCTCAAAAAACTTGATGAATGGTAAGAATTACGAACAGGTGGCTTCAGGCCTGATGGCATTGCCCACCCCACTGAGCTATGGCAGGGGTGGGTGGGGGCACTCTGCAAGCTTACCAGGAAAAAAATTCAGAGATCGTGATTCAAGAATGGGAAATCACCTGGAAATGGAAATATTTAAAGAAAAAATCCCAGTAGTACAAGAAACATAGACGTGGGACCCAAATTTAATGCATAAATTCTTCAAATATCTGAATGACAGCTAAACTGCTTGTTCTCGGAGAAATGTCCAGGACCAAATAAGCAGAGTAGAGAGGAATCTACTGTGGAAAGATGGAGTTACTCGGATCCAGAACTGTGATTCGATGAATTTCTTAACAGAGTCCGTGTACAATTTAGGTAAAAGAGAACATGAAGTGTTGGACTACAGAGATCAAAGTTGGAAATTAGGGGAAAATTTTCAGAAGTAAGAGAACCTAAAAGAGGATGAGCCTCATCTCTATTTCAATTCTTGGGTGAAGAACCAATTTCACAGGCACAGGGAAGTTTCACAGGAGGGAGAGCTCACAATCTACAGCAACACTACAGGGGAAGTTACCAGAGCAAAGCCCAGGTCTCAGCAGCTGCTTATTTTGGAGTGACAAAATTTACATTTTTAGTTTAGGAAAGTTAAAAATTAGAAGAGAAAGCTAATAACTCTCAGAAAAACACAATAGAATTTAAACCTAACACAATGTATTATTTTCCATGTTCAGTTTTCAAAGAAAAATTACTGACGTGCAAAGAAAAGGGAAAGTGTGACATAATAAAAATATAAATCAGTGGAAGCTGCATATAATTGTCTTCAGAAGCAGGATTTAGCAGACACTTCTATTGAAAATACATTCACAAATTCAAAGAACATATGCTTGATGAATCAAAGGAAAATATGAGACCATTGAGTTGACAATTAGGGGATATAAGCAGAAAAATTAAAACTACTTTTTTCTACTTGGGCATCACACCAGAAATAGATTCATACAAATATAATTAACTGAGTTTTGCAAAAGGTGAAAAAAGAAAATGGAATCAAAGTAATCTTTTCACCACATGGTTCTACATCAATTAGATGTCTATATGCAAACAAACAAATAAATAAATACAGCAACCTTAACCCACAACTCACATCTTGTACAAAGTTAACTAAATTTGATCATAGACCTCAGTGGAAAACGTAAAACTATAAAACATTTAAAAGAGAACAGGGGAAATTGTGTATGAACTTGGACTGGCAGAGTTTTTAAAAAATACAACAAAATAAATCTATAAAAAAATTGTACTTTATCAAAATTCAAATATTTTGTTCTCTGAAAAACAATGAGAAAAGAATTTTGAAAAACTGGGAAGAAATATTTGCAAAGCACACACTGGATAAATGATGTGCATGCAGAATGAGACAAGAAGTCTTCTCCGGATCGAAGTTCTTTTCTCTATCGAAAGGTTCGTGGTCTCTCGGGCTTAAAGGAATGAAGCCATGGACCGCAGCGCCGAGTGTTACAGCTTGATTAGAGAAACGTGTGGACCCAAAGAGTGTGCGGCGACAAGATTTATTAAAGCGAAAGCCAAAGTAAAACGAAAGCGAAAGTAAAGCTTCCACGTAGTGGAAGGGGACCCGTAAGGCTTGCTGTTTCTGGCTTGGGTGTGTTACGCTTATATCCCCTTATGACCCCTCCCCTTTTCCTTTTTCTGTCCTATAGAATTAGCTTATTTTCTAGCCACTTGTGGGTTGGCGGGCCTGATTGGTTGAAAACATCAGGCTGCAGCTAGAGCTTAAACTTCCTATGATTGGTTGAAGTTTCAATCCCTTAGCTTGCAGCTATGACTCATTTTGGCTTAGGGGAAAGTCCCCTTAGGGAAGTCCTTATTGACCCAGGAAGTCCAGCCAACTTAGCCATTTAGTCCCTCAAGAATATGCAAAGAACAGCTAAAACTCAACAATAACAAAACAACGAATACTCATTATTAGCAAGCAGAGTTTCATTGATTTAGAAATGCATTCATATGCAATTTGTATATAGTGCTTTATTTAAACATTTATGGAAAATAATTACAGAACTAATTCACATATTATGTCTTAAATACAGACATGTGCCTTTAGAATAAAGATAATTTCAAGATATTATCTATCTTTCTACCTGAAATCAATGAAGCCGTTTATACAGAGTTTAGAGAACTAAGTTTGCTTTCTAAGAATGTGGAAAGAAACAAACTAGAAGAAAATAAAAGCAGTAAATTTCGTTAGCCCTTGATTTAGCTGAAATGAACTATAAAAATTTTGAATAAAGGCAGAAATTACTTTTTTGACTATTGTATATAATATCTATTTGTAGAGTTCCCTGTACCTTACTGGCTTTTTTTTTTTTTAATGGAAAACATTGTATTGCTTAAAAGTAATCCAGGATTCTGAGGCTGTCTTAGCCACTACTATTAATAATAGAACTCTGACTGAGGGCACACTTGGTGAGAAAAAAATGGATTGAGCCTTCTGATAGCAGTGGCAACCCACCTGGAGCTGCTGCGACCATGATGTCAGCTGCAATGGGGGAGGCACAGCTGGGGCTGAGTGCTCCACTGAGCTGGAGGGAACAGGAAATAGGTGTAAGCCCCGCCCCCTTCTGAGTTGTGAGCGTGGGAGCCTCATGCTTCCTGGGTGCAGCTGCAGCTGCCAAGCCACAGGTGTGGACCTGGACCTCCCTGTGCTCTTGGGGGCCAGGAGCAGGCAGGAAAGCGCTCTCTGGCACAGCTACAGCTGCAGAAGCCTTGGCTGGGGACCTGGGCATCTCTGCACTCTCGGGGGCCCAGGAAGGCCACCCCATCACCGCAGGCTCTGAAGTGCCTGCTCCTGCTGCCTGGCCTCTCCCTGTTCCTAGACCCTGTTCTGATCTTGGAGGGGAGTTGAGGTCGAGCTCAGGCACTGTCACAACCCAGACAGCTGTGTGCAGGCTTTCAGCAGTGCTGACACCCCAGCCCCATGCTGCCCCTTCCAGACTTTGGGTGCCAAGGAGCACAGGAATGAGGCCGAGGGGGTGCTAAGTGTAGCTTGATGCTGGCCTGCAGGTGCCCTTGTGCAGGAACACCCTGGATGCCCAGCCTGGGTGAACAGTGAGTGATGGAAGGAGACAGGCCCTTGTGTGGAAAGGGGCAGGTCTCTGGTGAATCCCCACCTTCAAGTCAGGGAAGGCCTGAAGCCTGGGGCCTTGGCTGCCTGCCCTGTGGACCAGAGTGGAAACTTATGGTGCTTTTTCTGGGCCCACTCATGGTCATCCATGGACAAATCAGCACACACTTCCTCTCCTCTGAAGCCCATAAGAGCCCCCCGTCCTCCCCTACCCCCATTAAGCCAGACTCAAAAAGAGAGATGACAGGATGACCCGCTGTGGAGAGGAGCCACCCACCGCAGGGTCTCCCCTCTTCTGAGAGCTGAGAAGAGGAAGGGATGACCTGCCTGCGGAGTTGAGCTACCAACTCCAGGGCCTCCCCTCTGCTGAGAGCTGAGCACCTGTTGGGTTGCCATGGCTATGGAGAGAAGCCACCATCTCCAGGGTCTCCTTTGAGTTGTTCTGTTGCTCAATAAAGCTTCTCTTTACCTTGCTGTCCCTCCACTTATCCACATACCCCATTCTTCCTGGACACGCAGGACAAGAACTTGGGACCTGCCAAATGGCGAGGCTGAAAGAACTGCAACATAAACAGGCTGAAACACCCTCTTTGCTCACCATGTTGCGGGTGACAAGAAGGAGAGAAGAGCTATGGTCCCTCAGGGATCCCAGACCTAGGAGCTCCCCAATCCTCTTTGGGTTTCTGCAGTTCCTGGCATCTCTAAGCTTCTGGGTGCCACCGTGTTCCCCAGTGCCAGCCGTGGAAGCTGCTTGCAGTGCACCTGGTCTAGCCACAGCCTCGCAGTGAGCCGGCGCTGGTGCCAGCTCTTGGAGCTGCTTACCACACCACAGCCAGTGTGCCTGCCTGTGCACAGTGGCCAGACTTCAAGCATGCTTGCTCACACACTCTCGCCTCTCCACTCACCCTTGGTAGGCATGAGATCCAGGTTGGTAGTGTGAGCTGAGCGCAGCCTACCAGGCTGAGTGGGCCCAGTGGGCCTGAACAAAACTTGGGCTAAGGTGTCACTGGTCACAGAGATTTCTGGCTGGTGAAGTGACACTCGAAGGATCCTGTAACACTTCCATGTCCTTACTCTGAGGGTGATTGGCCTCAGGTCACTGACATTTAGGCAAGTCATGGCAGCCAACAGTCTGTAATATTCTCTTTGTAAATTTTGCAGAAATGCATTTGACCTACAAACACTTAGATTTGTGTAGTTGCCTTCTTTTAATTTTCACTTGGTTTAGCTTTCTTTCATTGAGGTCAATTCTGTGCTTCTTTCAGTCCCTTTCAATTGATACGTAACAGATTATTTTATTAATACTTCCTGGGGGGCCAGTAGAGTGTAACTGATTGAAAGTAGTGCTGTGGATCCTAACTGTGGATTCTAATATTGTGTTTCTTATTTCTTTTCAGGATGCATTTTGAGAGATGTTTTATTTCTCTCTCTTTTTTTTTTTTCATAAAATACCACAGACCAGCTGCAAGGTTCTTTACAGAAGAAATCTTTAAGTACAGGTAAACCATGCATATTAGAAAAGATGGCTTAAAACTCTACCTGCCATTAAAAGTGCAGAGAAAATAATAAAAATCTAAGAAAGAAAATTAGTATGTGTCTTGTAGAATCATAGAGCCAGACTTAGTCATCTCCAGGGTAAGCCTCATAAGGTTTGCTCACAGGAGGGAACCTTCAGTAACCAGGGCTTCAGTTAGCCAAACAATCTTTTTATGTGTCACTGTGAAGAAAAATGATAGAGCAGAATTTCTATTGTGTGTACGTGATGATGGATGATTTGCTATTAGCTGCTCAATGTACACATTCATTGAGTAAGAGTCTGATGCTCTCACAAAAACCATTGCAGTGAGTTTGGGAAATGTGAGTTCCAGAGCTGATGGAAACTTGCGTAACTTCACTTACACTTACTGAATTTTTTTTTCTTACTTTGTTCACCTATTAAGTTTTTGTGATAATGTGTCTTTTCTATTTTACTTTATGGAGTTATAAAAAGATAAAATAGATTTAGCTGTAAGTAATTGGCACATGCTGAGACTGTGGTTCAATAAGAGATGCTGTAAGATTTACCCAATCCTCTTAGCTAACACCTATAAATTAGTTAATACATGTAAGACAATAGGGACAGTGCCTAAGAGAGAGAGACAGAGACAGAGAGAGACAGAGAGAGAGAGGGGAGCTATAGATGGTAGAGAGAAGGACTGTAACCATCGAACTATGAGTCTTAACACACATCAAGATAATCATGGGCTGAAAGCATTTTAAAATGTAGGTCCCCAGGACTCAATCTCAACAAAGACATCAACAGATTTGTTCAGACACAAGAACTGGCTTTTAAGCATCTGGGCAATTCTTTTTTTTTCTTTTTGAGATGGAGTT
Organism: Homo sapiens; assembly: GCF_000001405.40. Classification (NCBI taxonomy): domain Eukaryota; kingdom Metazoa; phylum Chordata; class Mammalia; order Primates; family Hominidae; genus Homo; species Homo sapiens. The sequence continues at coordinate 4,677,046 of NC_000002.12, forward strand.
TCGCTCTTGTTGCCCAGGCTGGAGTGCAATGGCACGATCTTGGCTCACTGCAACCTCTGCCTCCCGGGTTCAAGTGATTCTCCTGTCTCAGCCTCCCAAGTAGCTGGGATTACACGTATGCACCACCACACCTGGCTAATTTTGTATTTTTAGTAGAGACGGGGTTTCACCATGTTGGTCAGGCTGGTCTCGAACTCCTGACCTCAAATAACTCACCTGCCTCGGCCTCCCAAAGTGCTGGGATTACAGGCATGAGTCACCGCTCCTGGCCACATCTGGGCAATTCTTATGAAGGTGGCTTACAGATTGCATTTAAGAAACAGCTATAAATATTTATTAATGTATCTGTTTATGATAGACAACTAGGAAGAGTGTGATAAGGGATAATGCAGCTGTGCCTTCTGGGAATGGGATTGTGTGTGTCACTTCAGTCACATTTCTCTGTACCTGAAAATAGATTTTGAGTAAGTCCCACTTGCATGTGGTAAAGTTTATCAAGTGATGCCTAGAAATACAGCTAACCAGGGAGGTAAAAGATCTCTATAGGAAGAATTACAAAACACTGCCGAAAGAAATCAGAGGTGACACAAACAAATGGAAAAACATTCCATGCTCATGGATAGTAAGAATCAATATTGTTAACATGGCCATATTACCCAAAGCAATTTACAGATTCAGCAATGTTTCCATCAAACTACCAGTGTCATTTTTCATAGAATTAGAAATGACTTTTCTAAAATTCACATGGAACCAAAAAGGAACCCAAAGATCCGAAGCCATCCTAAGCAACAAGAACAAAGCTGGAGGCATCACGTTACCTGACTTCAAACTATCTGACAAGGCTACACTAACATCACGTCTGCATCCTGATTTCCTTTTCTTGTGAGGTCACAAATTCTATCCAATTAGGGACCTTTATGACCTTAATCCCCTCTTTAAAGACTCCGTCTTCAAATAGAGTGACATTCTGAGGTACTGGGGGTTAAGGTTTTAACATATGAATTTTGGAGAGGACACAATTCAGCCTCAAACAGACACACCTAGCACAATGCACTTTTTCTACAGAGAGCTTATCTCAATTAAAATCCAACAACTAGGCATGCATTATTTAATATCTGTCTCCTCCATTTATGAGAGTAGAAACCAGCTCTATTTGTCCCATACCTAGGATAATATGTGCCATATAATGAGCACCAAATAAATATTTGTAAAATAAATGAATGGAAAGCAAGATATAGTGATACATATATCACAAGATCCCCAGGCAAGGTAAATTTTAGCTGTTCTAGCAAAGCAACAGAGAAGAAAAGATATATGGACACGTACACTTGTTCTATGGACACTTAGTTACCATTCTCAAGTAAAAGCAAGTTGAAGTTGCAAGGAACAGACAGGATGGAAGTTCAAGAATAAGTTAATTTGATTTTTTTTCAAGGAAAGGCAAAGAAGCGAAATAATCATAAATTATGATGTAAAGATTTAGGAAAGCAGAAATCTAAATTGCCTCATTGTGTTAAAATGCACCACATATTCTGAAAGTGCCAAAGTGTCATCAGATAAAGGATACGTGTTGGATCCTTTGAGAAAAACTCGAGGTGTTATCATAACCCATTGCTTCCGAGGCTGTGACATGCCCAAGATCAAAATCCCCATTTAGGGGCACTGTCAAGATGTGGACCAGGTACCCATGATTCTGGATCACAGCCTCCTTTCTGTCTGGTTATGCATCTCTGTAAATCTTGGCCCTGCATCCTTTTTCCAAAGTCTACAGCTTCCAGTCCCTCATGGCATGAGCAGTGGCCAAGTGGCCACTGTATTTAGTACAACAGTGCTATGGAGAAACTCTCTGGATGACCTCCTTATAAGCGTTCTTATCACCTTATCACCGGAAATTCTCCAGCTTATTCTACGAAAAACTCCATTACTGATCGTCTCTTTCAATTTAATCTCTTCCCATTAGCCAGGGTTGTCAGTGCTTGCTCATACAGCTCTGTGCTGTGTTGGTTGAAAGGAAGCCAGCTTTACTGAGGAAAGCAAAGGATGCTCTTCCTATGCAGAGGAGTCAGGAAGGCTCTGGTTACATCTTCCTGTGTCTGACTGAGGGAGGGCTGAGTCACTGGGAAGGTCAGCCTGGTCTCCTGCTGCCCCCTAGGTTGTCCCACCTTGCTCACCCAGCAATGGTGCAAAACAAGGTCATTGAAAAGAAAGGGACACACACACTGACATGTGTGGAAACACACACAAATATACACCACTGCACACACACATAACATACACCACGGCATGTGCACCACACACACATGCTACACACATCTCTGCATGTGCACCCACACCCATACACACACACAACACAGGCACACACTACTCACGCACCATTGCATGCACATGTGTACACATGTATGCACACACAACACATACCACACACATGCACCACTGTGCATGCACACACATACACACACACACAAACACACACAGATTCCTCACCTCAGCAATGGTGCTAACCAAGGCCATTGACATGATGGTGAACACATGTACGCATGCATGCATATGTGTGCACGTGTACACACTCACATACCATACACACATGCCATTCTATGCACATACACACACACCAATGTGAAGACACATGCACACCACACACACACACAGGTATGCACACACTGCACAAACAGCACTGCATGAACCTGCACAAACAGAGGCATGCACGCACACATGCATGTGTACACGGACACATCACACACACACAAACTACACAAACACACACCATTGCATACCCTTACTTCTTGCATGGCATTTAGTAACAGATCCAGAATTGGTATAGTCTTAGAACTGTTTTTAAAAACTTTCTTTTAATGACATATGAATGAAGTATTTATATAACTTAAAAATTGTGTTACTTTAAAATGTAGTTAAGCAAAGAGAAGATAATTTACTCATAATCCTTTTGTTTAAAAACAACCATAGAAAAATGTGGTGTATACCTTACGTAGTTTCCTATTCATTTATTTTATAAAAATTGTCATACTGTATGCAGAATTTTAACCTGCTTTCACAGTCTTTTGAATATATGTTTTTCTAAATTAACACATAGAAACCCTCTTTTTAAATGACTATATTATTCTACTAACTGAGCATTCTGTAATTGACTTAAACGATTTCTGTTGATAATGTCGGTAATCATTGCCTAGTAATACACTGTAGCTCTCTTAACCAGTGAGGTGTTGAGCATCTTTGTTTAAATATTTGGTTATATCTTCAATATTCCCTTATTTATCTAATGCTAGTCATATTCAAATGGGTGTCAGCATGGGCTATTTGTGCTATATTCTTGATTTATCTTTCATAAAAAATACTCTAATAGGCTCAACTGTGTATTTTTTAAAAATAATGACAATTGAGTGATACTAATATAATACAGATCCTGCTTTTGTAGAAATAAGTGTATCCACAAATAAAAATGACCTGTCAAACAAGGCAATTTTCATACACCAATCACAAGTGTCCATTGTCACCCTCTCCGTGTTATGACTGCTCAAGGACTCTCATTGCTTCCTAAGTAAACTTACCCTGCACCTCAACAGCACATGGTTTACTCATTCTCAGCAGATATTTTAGGGTTTTCAATCTAACTTTGAATTTAGAAATCGAAAATCTTAGAGTTAATGGCTAGGGTGAGAAAGTTAAATGTATAGAGAAACAGTGAAACTGAACAAGATAATTGTCCTTTCATTTGCCTATTTGAAACATTTCTTCTAAAACTTCTTAATCATAAAAGTGGTAGATCAGATGACAAAATACCAAAATAAATTTCCTATTTAGTAGCTTATAAGGGTGCTTATATAAATGTGGCCAAGGGTGAGCTTGAATGGCATAGTTACAGAACACTTCAGAAGGCAGGTTTTCTAAATTCATAGTATCTCTCAAAATAGCACAAATGAAGTTAACATATATCCTCACATGAACGATGGACACAATGAAGGTATAAGAACATTAGAAATCAGAAGAATTGGGTTCTCCCAAGTTGAACCACTGAAACAGACTAGAGTGACAACTCTGGACAATCTCATTATCCTCAGTGATGAGGACACCTTTATTCATGTGGGTGGCTGTCGTGAATGCCCGTTTTAGGCAGTGATGGAAGGTTTCCTGGGAAGTATAAAGGACCCAGTGAATCTTAGAATTTGGAAGTTGAGAGGTATTTTAGACAGCAGCTAGTTTAACCCCATCACTCCACAAATTCTGAAACTCAGCACCAGACAGCAAATGTTTCTTATCCACACCAGGAGTACAGTTGATAGCAAATAGAAAGCATTCAAGATTCTATACACTATCACTTAGGTTTTTTATCATTGTATTCGTTTTCTCTCTGTGTGTGACAGATCACCACAAGCAGCATTTTGAAACAGCATTCATGTATCTTCGGTGGTTTCCTTTTTGATTAACAAAAAGTGAATTGATTAGTAGCTGTAAGTTAATCTGTAAAATCTCCTTTTTTGTGTATTAGGTTGGTGCAAAAATTATTGGGTTCTTTTTTTGCCATTGAAAGTAATGGCAAAAAGCACAATTACTTTTGCACTGACCTAAGAATATAAATAACAATTGGCATAATATCTCATTGTGTTAGGAGGGGGACATCTTGGGGAATCATTTTGGAATTCCCTCTGCAACACCTTATGAAGTATTCTAACTTCTGGCCAGAAATACATACATACACACACACACACACACACACACACATAAAAATAAAGAGGAGGAAGCCAATGTTGATTTGCTCTGCCCTTTATTGACTGAAAGACCACCCAGACAGTAACTTCCCTGGAGGCAGAGCCTCCCCTAGTTGGTCTCCGTCAGGCAGAGATCCTTACATGGTCAGTAGCTTCCCCATGACCACAGCTCGTTATCAAACAGATCCGCAGAGAATGGCCCTGTTTACTGCACGGTACTCAGAGAAGAAACACTTCTCATGCAAGGGGCAGTTTTCCCAAGGATGGAATTACTTTATGAACTAAGGAAATTTACACTGATATTACCCTGTCATTTTCTATCCCTGTCTGTTGGTTGGTTTCTCCTTACATGACTTACCACCACTAGCACCGCATTATACTTTTATTGCCTTTCTTCCCCACTAAAATGTAAGGTCTGTATGCGCACAGGTTACTCCTACCTTGTTCACCACTCTAACGCCAATGCCTACAACAATACCTGGCACTCACTAGGTGCTCACGGTGTGTGTTGCATGGACGTGTCTGAGACTTTCCTGGTACACTGCAAAGCGTTCTCTTTAGGGCCACGTCAGTTTATCTGGCAGTGTAAGTTCCAAAAAGAAGCAAGATGGCTTGGTGCTGATTAATACAATTAGTATAACATGTTTCAACTATGATATATTTGTTCTACTTTTCCTATGTTACATTTTTTTGCTTTCTTTTGAATTATGTTTATTATTCCATTTTTTTTCCCTCTAATAGCTTTTTAGTTACACATTCTTAAAGTACTTCCATGGGAGTTATCCTAGAGATATCAAATGTGTTTTTATTTATATTCAAATACAACTTTGTTGACCAGCACCCAATAATGCAAGCATCCTATAAGGCTTTAAATCACATTTTTTTCTTTCTACCTTTTGTGTTTTGATGTAATGTATAATAATTCAACTTGTATTTTATAACCCTTCAAACTTAATTGTTGTTTTTTATAATCAGTATCAATTTAGAGTTAGCCACATATTTATCTTTATCTTTGTCGTTGTTGTTGTTGAGAAGGAGTCTTGCTCTGTCGCCCAGGCTGGAGTGCAGTGGCATGATCTTGGCTCACTGCAACCTCCACATCCTGGGTTCCAGCAATTCTCCTGTCTCAGCCTCCCAAGTAGCTGGGCCTACAGGTGCCCACCACCACGCCTGGTTAATTTTTGTAGTTTTAGTAGAGATGGGGTTTCACCATATTGGCCAGGCTGGTCTCGAACTCCTGACCTCAGGTGATCCGCCCACCTCAGCCTCCCAAAGTGCTGGGATTACAGGCGTGAGCCACCGCACCTGGCCATATTTATCATTTTCTTATCTTCGTTCATAGTTGTGCTTCATTCTGGAATCAATTTCTGTCCACCTATTTATTTTTATAAGGATCTGCTAATCATGAAAGATATCATTTTTTGTTATCTAAAATATTTTCATCTTGCCTTTATATTTAAAGGATATTTTACTTCTGAAACATATTTTTCTAAAGAAAATGTGTGTGAAACCTCTATTTACAGAAGAGACAAAACTGCACTGCCCTGGATGGAGCAAGGTTCAGAGACCGAGCTCGGCCTGTCACTCAGTTCTCATAGCAGCCACTGTCTCCTCTGAACAACCAGTTTCAAACCACTGAGGCCATGAATGTATTAGACTTTATAAAACCGTATTTGAGACCACATGCCCGAATGGAATTAGGAATGCACTGGGAATCACAACTACTTTGTTTTGTTCCTGATCTTGGAGGCAACTAGTTATGTGACATTAGATAAATATTACCAAATACGTTGGCAATTCATTTCCTTTGTTTCTAACATAGCAAATCCACTAGCTACCTCACTGAACTATTGCAGGGATGAACTAAGATGATAAAAGACATCTGCTTACTCACTGCCTACTTCAGTATCAATTGCTGTATCCGGGTTCTTTGATACAGATAACAGATTCCTGGTCACAAGTCAGAAATCACAAATTTTTAAAGACAGGTAGTGCCTCACAGAATCCGGAAAGAATAATAAAAAGACTGACTCACAAAAAAATTGCCCAGGAAGAAGGACCTCTGGTATCTAAATAGCTGGAATTACTTGGCTTGTGCATCAAAACACAGTCATGGGAATGAATAATTTATATATTTTTTCTTTTTTTCATCATTTTTTCCATAATTCAAAATTGCAGAAGGAGCAATCTGACATATTTTGTATGAGGTACATTTTCTTTTCAAGTGCGTAGAAGATGCCTTATGTAAGAGATTTCCCCAAAACTGAACAAATGAGAGAAGTTATTTCTAAAGAAAAATAAGGCTTATTACTAAAAGAAAAGCCCCATGGTAGGTGGTGGTAAACTGTAGATGTGGACTGCCACTCTTACCCTTCGTTGGTCAAACCCACCTGACTCTCACCTTACTCCTTTGTAGCATGTATATGCAGAATAAGCAGCCCTGTCATGCCTGCTTGAACATGGACAGTACACTTTTAGGACTCAATTCCTCAACCCTTTTAGCTTCCCTTGAAGCAGATACACAGCTAACAAATATTAAGGTAATCATTTAATATTTTTTATGCACTGTCACTCTGAATAGGGGAATGTTCAGATAAAACATAGTTTCATTCACTCATCTCTTTCCTACAAGGAGGATGTTGGAGTTAAGATGTACCTAGATATTACACTTCAAACTAAAAGTATTTTGAGAATTCTAGAATTTCCCTGTCTCTCATCATAAATGGAAATTTGAAAAGCTGTTAGCTTTAGTCTGTGAAAAGTTTGAGGAAATAAAGTTAAGAAAGATGCTTAAGACAGGAAGTGTCAATCTCACATCTCTAGTGTCAGGAAGAAAATATTTCAAGGTTGAATTTGAAACCTATCTGAATGGAAGAAATAAGGGCATGGGTTCTTCTTACAGAGTAACCTCTGTAATGAAGCTCTAAAGGAAGTAATAACTCAAAAGGCGATTTTAAATTCTAAGTGTGACTATCTGAAGAGAACTGATAAGATACAAGTAAAACAAGCTTAAAAATAAATATATTATTTGGAATATTATCTGATTGCATTTTGTAGATTGAAGAAAATGATGGTTCAGTGTAAATATTATTATAATTATTGTGTATTGAACAAAAGATAAGTTTAAGTCCTAATCCCTGGGATCTGTGAATGTAACGTTATTTGAAAATAAGGTATTTGCAGACACTAAATTTAAAATAAATAAATAAAAAACTAGTCAAGTTAAAAGGAGGTCACACTGGATTAGGGCATTCTCTGAACTCAATGACTCGTGTCCATATAAGGAGAGAGAGATTTGAACACACAGAGAAAGCACACAGGAGAAAGATTTGTGAAGACAGAGGCAGAAATTGGAGCCATCGTGCCACAAACCAAAGAATGCCGGAGATTGTAGGCAAAAAACAGACACCAGAAAAGGCAAGGCAGGATTCCTTCCTAGGTCCTTTTCATGGGTGTGGCCCTTATTCTTTCATTACGATGAGTTATAAACAAAGAACTTTCTTACTTTTTTGAAGTTCTGAAGAGGAAACAATTTTGAAACCCAGAAGAGAACTGCAGTTTGCTGTGCTTTAGGTTTAGTTTGAAGGTAATTTCATTTTTCATTTTCTTAGACTTTTAAGAACTTGTTAAGTGTTCTCTTCTTATATAAACAGCATGTTTAAATAATAATTTATTGTTTGATTTTTCTGAAGCTTGTAAGTTTTTATTTTAAAAATTAAGTAATATAGAACATAACAAATATAAAAAATGTCACGGAAAATTCCCCAGAAATGACACAATTATATTACTATCTTTGCAGCTATTTCTCTAGGTAGATAAAAAGAATAAAGGTTATGATAATATAGAGCAAAAAAAAAAATTTAAAAAGATGTGATCATACTGTATAGTCTGGATTAAAAAAACACTTAAAATGTCACATTAACAGAAGAAAAATAAAACAGCTAGAAACAGAAGTTATTGATAAAATTCCTAGACATAGTCATAGTCACAGATAACTTTTCATTTGTTGTTATAATTTAATATTTTGATTTCTCAAGTTTTATGATACTTAACTCATGATTTTACAGCTATTACTATTAGTCTTAAAGAGTAGAGTTAATTGCATTCAGTACTTATCTTCTTTTACTTTTTTATTTCTTATTCTAATTCATCTCACTGAGAGTTATAGTTCATTGGCAAGGTTTTTCAAGAAGGGTTCACAGGACAACATTTATGGAGTTTTTGTGTGGATATTTTTCTACTGTCTTTTAATATATTGTATGTTGTATTGTTGCAGATGCACTTTTACTGTGATGTCTACATACATATTTTGGAAAGCTGGCTTTTGTCATCAAATAATTTTTCTAAGAAAGGTTCATGCAAGCTATATTCCCAAATTCTTTCCTGTTCAAATGTTTTTATTGCCTTTATATTGGAGGAAAACATGACTGGATATTATGTTTGAGATTCATTTTCTTTTTAATCAATCTCTGTCAATTTTTTGGGGAGGACCTGGAATGTCAAGAGTAAGACTGGACTGTCCCCCCATCCACCCTTTGAAAGTGACTTGCTTTGCTTTCTAAATTTCTTCTTTTCACACTCCTCCTCTCTTTCCTCGCTTTTCTTCTATTGCTTCTCTTTCTCTGCCTCCTTTTCTCTCTTAACGTTCTGTAGCCTATCTATTAATACTACTCTATGCTTATCCTCAGATTCAGGAATAACTGTGCAAATGTTCAAGAGGTTGTACTCTTTCCTATAAAATGACTTTTTAAGAATGGTTTGGGAGGGGGGGTAGGTATCTAGAAATTATGCGGAGTCATGCCACAAATGTTTTCTTTCTTTGTCACAATTTTTTAGAGGTTGTTGACTTTCCCCTGCTTTCATTTGTATTATTTCATCAAACATTATTCTGCATGTTTTTGTGAGGGTGTTTCTGGAGGAGGTTAACATTTAAGTCCATGGACTTTGGGTAAAGTAGATTGCCTTGCTTAATATTGGATAAGTCTCATCCAGTGGACTGAAAGCATGAATAACACAAACAAATGACCTCCCCCAAGCAAGAAGGACTTTTCCAGCAGAGGGTCTTTGGACTTAAACTGCAGCATTGACTCTTCCCTGGATCTCCAGCCTGATAGCCCACTGTGCAGATTTTGGACTTAACCTCCATAATCACATAAGCCAATGCCTCAAAACCTTTATATCTGTATTTATATTTATATCTGTGTCAACATACACACACACACACACACACACACACACACACACATCCTAATGGTTCTGGTTTACTGAAGAACCCTGACTAATACAGAATGCCTTAATTACTTCAAAAAAAATTCATAAATGAACACAGAATTAGGGCAAACACAATTTTGGAGGGGAATGAGTGTGTATGTGAGGGGAAAAGAAAAACATAAAAATGAAACAAATCCTTAGCCAAGAAAAAAAAATCGTCTTCCCTTTGTTAAAAGAAGAATGCTAGGAATTAAAATTCAAGCTGTTTGTGTTCTTCTGATTTCATGTGTTTTGATACCACTTATTATTTAGCCGTAGGTTTTGACAATCCTTTTCCCACAGCATGATTCGACGTCTCAACTTAAACACCTAAGCTAGTTACTAGCAAAACGGAATCTAGTTGTCAATTTTGTAATAGTCCTGCTCCATAATGAAAAATATAAAAAACGGGTTTCATTTCTAGAGGCTACTTGGCAGCTTGCCTGAAAAAGACACTCTTAATATTTTCTTAGCCAAATCTTTGTACATTGCCAATCCAGATCACATATTGTGTGGGTCATTCACCTTCACTCCTTCATAAAAATACCATCTTGTCAGAATATCATGTTCATAAGTCCTGACCTTCAAGCTAAAATTCAAAGTCAGTAGCAAAAGTTGGCTTCTGTTTTATTTGTCTGTTGAAAATTTTTATAGAGGACAAATGACCTCAGTTGCAGTATATTCTGTACTCACTGAGCCCTGTACACTCAATCATAAATGAGAAGATTTTGATACCTTCCAGAATGATGAGCACTAAGAGTCTAAGTCACTTATGTGCTTTTTGGATGTAATAAAGTCCTGCTTCTGATTCTGTTTTTCATCATGATTATTGGAAGATTACTTTCGTACTGTAAGACAGATATTATGAAAATAAAATTATTATTTGACTACATACAATTCATCATAGATTTTCCTGGCTTTAAATGATGTAAATTTATTTAGTTACCATAATAATTTAAGAATTATTGGTCAGTTAATAACAATATTTTAAAAGTTATTATATTCAGTATATAAAGTAAAATGGTAGAATCCACATTATAGTGTATGAGTATTTGTGTATAAATTAGGATATTGTAGGTTAGTTGACTCTCATTTAGCAAAATGTCACATCCCTATATAAAGAAATGTAAATAAAGACTATTTTTATTGCATCAAAAAACTGCATAACATTAACTTTTATGCAGACAATTTACTTTCTGGCCTAGAGAGCAATGTGAGACATTTTTACTCATGATTACTTATTCTGGAAATTAGGATTAACAAATCAAAACATTACTTTGATCGTGTAAAATACGCCTAATATCAAAGGAAATACAATAGCATTTTTTTAGTGTTTTGGAATAATATTTTGATGAGGAGATTATGGAGATTGTCATCAGACACTTTTTTGAAATGCAATTGTGTCATGTCTCTATTATATAGGTAAAGCTATTTAGTCTCTCTAAGCTTCAATATTATCTATATAGCCATAAGACTATGGGAAGGAGGAAGGAAGTAAAGAGTGGAAATCATCTAGCATTATCTGGCATATGTAGACAACATTTACTTACCTATTTCCCTCGAGTCTCAATTTTTCTGTCTTTAATATACGGGTAAAGTTATTAACTCACAGAAGTTTTGTAAGAATTAAATATGATGTCATATGAAAGTGCTCAGTGTAGTACCAGGAAAATCATGTATGGATAATATCTTAGTTCAGTTTGTGCTGATATAACAGAATACCTGAAACTGAGTAGTTTATGAAGATAAGGAATTTATTGGCTCACAATTCTGGAGGCTGAGAATTACAGGAGCATGATGTCAGCATCTTCCTAGCTTCTGCTGAGGGCCTTCATCCTTCTTCGTCCCATAGTGAAAGGTGAAAGGGCAAGAGAAGATGAGCAAGAGCAAGAAGTGGCTGAACTTGTTTTTATAACAAACTCCCTCCTACAGTAACATTACTCCATTCATGAAGGCAGTATCCTCATGACCTAATCTCCTCTTAAAGATCTCACCTCTTAACACTGCTCCACTGGGGATCAAATTTCCAACATATGAATTTTGGAGGACACATTTGAAACATGGCAGGTAGTATGGTTTGGAAATTTGCCCACTTCAAAACTGATGTTGAAATTTAATCCCAAATGTGCCTGTATTGAGTAGTGGGGCCTTAAAGAGAGCAGAGCCCTTATGAATGGGTTCATGAATCAATTCATGAATGAAGGGATTAATGAGTAATTATGAGAGTGGGACTGGTGGCTTTGTAAGAAGAGGCAGACAGACCAGAGCCAGTACACTCAGCCCCTAGCCATGGGATATCCTGAGATACCCCAGGACTCTGCTGAGAGTCCTCACAAGCAAGAAGAACTTCACCAGATGCCACTCCTTGACTTTGGATTTCTCAGCCTCCAAAATTGTAAGAAATAAATTCATTTGTATATTGATTACCCAGTGTATTAGACTGTTTGTGCTACTATATAAGAATGTATGAGACTGGGTAATTTATTTTTGAAAGAAGCCCAATTGGCTCACAGTTTTATAGGATATACAGAAAGTGTGATGCTGACATCTACTTATGGTGATGGCCTCAGGAATCTTATAATAATGTCGGAACGCAAAGAGGGAGCTAGCATGTCACATGATGAGAGCAGGGGCAAGGATGGAGGTTGCTACACTCTTTTAAACAACCAGATCTCAAGGAACTAGCTGAGCAAGAACTCACTCATCATCAAGGGGATGGTAGTAAGTCGTTAATGAGAGATGGGTCCTCATGATCCAGTGCTTTGCACCAGGCCTCATGTCCAAAACTGGATGTCACATTTCAACATGAGATTTGGAGGGAACAAATAACCAAACAATATCATTTTGGATCCCCAAATCTCATGTCCTTCTCACATTTCAAAGTATAAAAATCTCTTTTCAATAGTCCTCCAAATTCTTAACTTGTTCAAGCACCAAGTTCAAAGTCCAAAGTTTCATCTGAGACTCATCTTCCACCTATGAGCCCATAAAATTAAAACAAGTTTTTCACACCCAAGATACAATGGTGGCACAGGCATTGGGTAAGCATTACCATTCCAAAATAAAGTAAAGGAGTAACAGGCCCCACACAAATCTGAACCCAGCAGGGTAGGCATTAAAACTTAAAGCTCCAACATAATCTTTGATTCTATGCTATGTCCTGCATCCAGGGCACACTGATACAAGGGGTCTGCTCCCAAGGTCCTGGGTAACTCCACCCCTGTGGCTCTGCAAGGTGCAGCCCCCATGGTTGCTTTCACAAGATGGAGTTGAGTGCCTGTGGCTCTTCCAGACTCAAGATGCTAGCTGCCCATGGCTTCACTATTCTGGGGTCTGAAAGATGGTGGTCCCCTTCCTACAGCTCCATTAAGCAGTGCTCTCATGGGGACTCTGTCTGGGGCTTCCAACCTCACAATTCCCCTCAGCAATACTCTAGTAGAGTTTCTCTGTAGGGGCTCTGCCCTGCAGCAAGCTTCTACCTGGGCACTTAGACTTTTCCAGACAGCTTCTGAAATATAGTTAGAAACTGCTGAATCACCTTCATGTTTGCATTCTGGGCATCTGAAAAGTTACACCATATGAAAGCCTCCAAGGCTTATGGCTTGTGCCCTCTGGAGCTGTGACCTGAGTTACACTAGTGCCCCTTTGAGCTGAGGCTGGAGCTAGACTGGCTAGAATTTGGGAAGCAGTGTCCCAAGGCTGCTCATGGAAGTCAGGTCCTGGGCTTGTCCCAGGAAACCAGTCTCTCTCTGAGGCCTCCAGGCCTGTGTTAGAAGGGGCTGTCTGGCAGGTCTCTGAAATGCCTTCCAGGTTTTGTTCCCATTGTCTTGGATATTAGCACTTGGCTCCCTTTTAGTCGTGCTATTTTTTCTAGCAAGTACTTGCTTCACAGTCTGCTTAGATTCCTTTCCCCAAAAAACTTTTTCTTTCTCTGCCACATGGTTAGGCTGCAAATTATCCAAACTTTTAAATATATGTTCCAACTTTAAGTCCTTTATTTGTTCTCACGTCTGATCATAGGTTGTTAGGAGCAGCCAGATCAACTCTCAAATGCTTTGATGCTTAGAAATGTCTTCCACAAGATATTCTTAGTCATCACTTTTAAGTTCAAAACTCCACACAACCCTAGAGCATGAATGCAATGCAGCCAAGGTATAATGCTAGGGTGTAACACGGGTGACTTTTACTCCAGTTCTCAGTAAGTTCCACACTTCCATCTGAAACCTCCTCAGCCTGGCCTTCACTCTTCACATTTCTATCAGCATTTTGGTCACAGGCACTTAACAAGTTTCTAAGAAGTTTCAAAGCTTCCCTCGTGTTCTTATCTTCTTTATAGACCTCCAAACTCTTCCAACCTCTGCCCATTACCCAGTTCCAAAGCTGCTTCCACATTTTCAGGTATCTTTATAGCAATGTCTTGCTCCTTGGTACCAATTTTCTGTATTAGTCCAGGGGCATTATTATAATGAAATACCTGAGACTGGTAATCTATAAAGAGATTTAATTGGCTTGTGATTTTTCAGACTGTACAGGAAGTGTGATGCTGGCATCTGCTCTTGATGAGGCCACAAGAAGCTTTCAATCATAGAGGAAGGCGAATGGCTAGAAGATGTGTCACATGGCAAGAGAGGGAGCAAGAGCAAAAGGGCTGGGAGGTCTCAGGCTCTTTTAAACAACAAGATATCACATGAACTAACTGAGAAAGAACACACTCATCACCAGGGGGATGGTGCTGAGCCATTCATGAGAGATTCATCCCCATGATCTGAAACCTCACACCAGGTCCTACCTCTAACATAGGAGTTATCATTTCAACATAAAATTTTGGAGGGTACAAACATCCAAACCATATTACCCAGTTTCAGGAATTCTGTTATAAGCAACAGAAAATGAACTGTAATGGTTAGTATTTAATGCGAATTGTTCCTGGGTGTGTCTGTGAGTTGTTGCCAAAGGAGATTAACATTTGAGTCCAGGGACTGGGAGAGGCAGACCCGTGCTCAGTCTGGGTGGGCACCATCTAATCAGCTGCCAGAGCTGTTAGAATAAAGCAGGCAGGGCCTGGCACGGTGGCTCCCGCCTGTAATCCCAGCACTTTGGGAGACCGAGGCAGGCAGGATCACGAGGTCAGGAGATCCAGACCATCCTGGCTAACACGGTGAAACTCCGTCTCTACTAAAAATACAAAAAAATTAGCCAGGCGTGATGGCAGGCGCCTGTAGTCCCAGCTACTCCGGAGGCTGAGGCAGGAGAATGGTGTGAACCTGGGAGGCAGAGCTTGCAGTGAGCCAAGATCGGGCCACTGCACTCCAGCCTGGGCAACAGTGTGAGACTCCATCTCAAAAAAAAAAAAAAAAAAAAAAAGAAAGAAAGAATAAGGCAGGCAGAAGAAGGTGGAAGACCTGACTTGCTGAGTCTTCCAGTCTTCATCTTTCTCCCATGCTGGATGCTTCCTGCCCTTGAACATCAGACTCCGAGTTCTTCAGCTTTTGGACTCTTGGACTTGCCCCAGTGGTTTGCCAGGGTCTCTTCAGCCTTCAGCCACAGATTGAAGGCTGCACTGTCAGCTTCCTTACTTTTGAGGTTTTGGGACTTGGACTGGCTTCCTTGATCCTCAGTTTGCAGATGGCCTACTGTGGGACTTCACCTTGTGATCACAAGTGTCAATTCTCCCAATAAACTCCCCTTTAAATATATACACATCCTATTAGTTCTGTCCCTTTAGAGAACGTTGACTAGTACATGAACTAAAACAGCAGATATGAATTAGCTGCTAAACTTCCATCCACCCTCCTTCTGTACTGATGGGTAGAGTGAAAGGGTAGGGAACCAAGACTGAACTTCTTGGATTCATTTGCAGCTGAGTCCTAGTCCCTTTTATAATGCTTTCAATGTAGAAGTGACATAGAAACCATCTTCCTGGTACTTTGGGCTGATTTTGAGATGGTAATGGCACCGTCAAAATAGGAAGTCTGTGCAGTAGCATGCAATGATCACATCCACACTTTCCAGGTGAGTGGAGGCAGCCACACAAGAGGCCACTGTGGTGGAGGCTTCAGGTTTCTGACTGCCCAGTTCCCCAGATCACAGCTGAGACGTGTTCTTCTTGAATTTAATAGTTTTGGTAGTGGTTTCTTAGGAATGAGATTTCTAGTGAGCTTGATGTTTTTCTCTCTGAAATTCATTCCTAGTGGCATACCAAATGTTTTTCTCCAAAACATTTTTTGAAGCACCAAATTCCCTTTAAGATGTTCTTGTCTATTTAAATTCTGACACGATTTTCTATTTCCTGTACAGAATCCCGAGTGACCCAGTTTGTCTTCAAATCATATTTTTCAGTTAGTTTTCCTCGACTCCAAGGGAATTAATAGTCTCACTGTGGTTGGGAGGGTGCAAAGACACAGGAAACCCGCAGACGGCTCTCCAAGTCTGCCTGTGAGTCATGGCCCTATGATCACATGGCCCCTCAGAGCTGTGTGGGCTGCGTGGGGAGAGGGAAGACGGAGAGAGAACTTGGAGACGTGAAAAGTGATGGCCTGAGCATGGAGAGGCACTGAGAGGAGAGTAAAAGGAGCAGAAAGGATGATCTCCTGTGACGACATAAAAACAGTCATCACCATAATTTGAGTAAAAAAAGCAAAATGCTTCCCAGACACATAAATTACTTCAGAAGAAAGATAGTCTGGATCATATACCTGCTGGTCTTGGGGAATTAGGGTCAGCAACGGGACTGGTTAATACTAGGTATGTTGAGGAATTGCTGAATGACTTTACATTAGCATTTAAACTAATTTGATGTATTTATTTTCTTCTTTCAACTTGTTGGAGAAAAATAAAGAACCATCTCTTGATGGTTTGTCAAGTTATGTATTAGGATATTTTAATTCCTTCCTAGACATATTAACAGTCGGTTACTGTATGGCATGAATATTTTCAAATGTTCCTTCTTGCAGACATACAGAAACACTTTGCATTTAATGGCATGAGGTGCACTTTAAAAGAAACAGTGAAGGGAAGTCATGAAATAGGCTACAGCAAGCATGAAGAAAAATACGAATAAAAAAAGTACAAAAATAATATAGCTATCATGTTAAGATTCCAGCTAACTTTTCAAATGAGGTTAGAAATAGATTCTTTTAATTTTATGACAGCCATTTAATTATGTAGCTCCCTCAATGCCTTTATAAGAGAAAAGGGCTTTGTAAATTAGATTGTTTTATTATAAAATTCCAACAGGATATATATTCACCAACTCTTATTTTTCTGTAAATAATCCTTGATGAATAAGGAGGGTGAACTGGGTAAGATTACATGAGACTTAAACTAACACTTAAACCACCCAAGGTGACTGTATCTAAGATTACCGCTATACACGTGTCTAGGACTTCACTTGCAAATAGAAAAGCAGATTTGTGTGCTAGTTGGGACAAAAGAAAATCACATGCTAAAATGACCCTGGTGAAAACCATTTAATCTAAAGCCACATTCATCTCAGATTCACTGCTTGGTTTTCCTTTAGGATTTGAAGAGCATATTCTTTGATACGCAAAATGTTATTTGCTGAAGGTTACCAACACCATTCTGCACATCATTTACAAGTGTTTATCTCTCCCCATTCAGCCTACGTTTTTTTTCTATTGTAATTCATACTCATGAGAGTGAACACTTGATTTTTTTTTTCTGTATGGCAATTTGTAAAGTAGCATTTAGGTAGGTTTAAAGCTGTTCAATTTTTGTCTAAATATTTGCCTCTCCTTCAGGGAAGCCTTATCCAGGGTTCTGCCTGCCCAGGACTACCAAGGACTTCCTTGTTTTCCCCAAGTCCTAAGATGAATAAGCAAAGCACGAGCCTGAGAAACATCACCTTGAAGGTGTGATGCTGCTGCCCACAGCCTGATACACTCCCGAGGATGCCCAGAAATGCACCATTTCAAATAAAGCGGGAAATTTATTGTTTTTTAAAAATTATTTTAGTTATTCAAAGTCTCTAGAATCTCTCTTAAAAAAGCAAGAAAATTAAATTTTTCCTAAATGCCAAGCAATGAGTATTTGCTTGGCATTTAATTTATTATTAAATTGACCTTTATTAATGATTGACCTTTAATTTTGCTCTCTCAGTTTCCTTTATACAAACCGCAAGGACGTATTTTCCTATTTATTTATCAGATGAGGAAACAGATTGGCACTACAGAATTTTTGGTGGTCATACAGTAAGTGCCTGTGGGCTGGCATCTCTCTCTCTCTCTCTCTCTCTCTCTCTCTCTCTCTGCCTGACTCCAAAATCCTTTTTGTTTCTACATAGTCTCAGTTTATGTAGCTGTAAGGATAAAACCTGAATGTTGTGTTGAGAAATGTTGGAGAACAAGCGCAAACTTCACCAGACAGGAAACAAAAGTGGGAGAAGGGGGCAGGTAGCTCTAAGTGACTAAACATTTACCTGTGCTAAATCCTCTAGATCATTTACAATTTAACACAACCTTATGAGCTGTGGTGTGCTGGTTAATCTTTAAAGCTGTCTGGAGAAAAAAAGATTTTTAGTGTTTGCCAATTTCTATGATATAATACCCCAGAGATGGCAGGTTTCCCACTAGCAGTGTCATGCTGTAGAGTGCAGAGTTTGGAAGGGGTGTACACAGTAGGCTCTAGTGAGCCACTGGGACCCGACTCCAGCAAAACCCTCCCTATTGAGTCATTATTGTCCTTCACCCCATTCCACAGGTGAAGAAATCTAAGATCAGTAAAGCCTGAGATCACCAACCAGAAAGCAGCTTAACTGGGGATGGAAAGAAGAACTGTTTGGTTCCAAAGCATTTCAACATGTTTGGAAATTGTCAGACTGCTTATCACTGGAGTGAGGAGATTTTTGTTCTATGTAGGTATATTTTTATCAGCAGTTGATTAATAAAAAACACCAAAAGACAAGTTCTTCCCTTGGGCACTCTCTCGCCAAGTGAGCAAAATGTTTATTTTGTTATCGTTTATTTTTGCTAGAGGTTGTGGTAGCGTCTGCCAGTAGACAAAATCATCATGAAATGTTAAGGATGAGAGAGGTACTTGCAAACCTTCTTAAAAGTCCAGAGGAAACAGTGACTGTGTAGTGTGAAGACTCGAGCCATCCCCAAAGTAGAGCAGCAGCACATGCGAAGAGGGATTCTTATCTGCCCTTGATTGAGAGCCTGCTGCATCCATCCATGCTGCTTCTGTTGAACTGGGAACAGAGAGGCCTGCAGCAACCAGGGAGGAGGTGGAGCGACTTTGTTGCAATTGCTTACCCCATAATAATGCATTGTATATATAGATCATTTTTTCAAACCAGGCTGGCATAAATAGTACTATGATTTGACCTGTTTGGTGTTCCTATTATCCTCTTTTGTAAGGAACCTAATTCTTTCTTTAAATTTATTTATTTATTTATTATTTTTGGAAACAGAGAAGTCCTGGAGCTTTTCTTAAATGAAAAGTACAGGGTGTCTGCTAGTAGTTCATCTGATGTTGAAAGGGCAGACTGTTACCAGTATCGCCAGATAGCTTGGGTTAGTGGGTGAAATATTTTCCTGATTATTGTTTCACATTATCTGGTGTTAATACCTTCAAGTATATATTGAAGCAATTATCTTAATAAAGCCCTATTTTACTTCTCTCTGCTGTTTTCTTCATGATTATTTGCCATATGGTAAGAGAGAATACGTATACACAATAAATGTTAACAAACACACATGAATATCCGGACACCTCTGTCTCTCTGTGTGTCTCTCTTTGTCTCTTTCTGCCTCTCTTTTTCTCTCTGTCTCTGTATCTTTCCCTCTCTCCTTTTCTCCTTCCCACAGGCACACACAGACACTTCTTCTGGCTTTGAGATAAATCTAAAAATACCTGCTGTTTGAAATCACTTCCCGTGGTGATTAAAAAGGACCTTTCCCACTGAGATCCAAGATAGCTTTTCTTCCCTGTGTTGAAACAGGGCCTCTGCCTGTGGTTGTCACTGTGGAGTAAGATGTCCCTGCGAGGCAAAGCATATGATGTGTACCATGGGCTCATTTAGGCCAGGTCTCGTTTAAAAACAATCTTTTCCGAAGCTATTTATAATTCCTTGGCTGAGAAGAATACAACTTTAGTGAAAGTGAATAGTAAAAGGAAGCAATTAAATTCCTTATGCAATGGTCTTTTTTAAAAGAGCGGGTGTGTTATAGAAGGAAAAATCCTGCGTTAGAAGTCAGTGGTCCTTAGGCTACTTCTTAGATTACTAAACTTCTCTGGGTCCTTATTTGCATATTTTTTTCTCATTCCGTCATTTGCATATCCCCACAAAATAGGAAATGATACAGGGCTCTTAAGCACACGGCATCATACAAACTCTAAGTCCCTTGAAGCTGCTTTGAAAATTACAAGTGCCCATCTTCCAAGCATTCTGATTCTCTGGGTGAGGGCATAGTCACCTGCATCCTTACATATTTAAAAACTATATTTTATCTTCAAGGCCCTTTCCAGCCCTGAAATAGTAAGACTCCAAAAATAACTCGCTTCTATAAAAACTGCATGAAGATCATTTGATCATTTAGTCATATAATAGCTACTCCATAATATTCATAAATCAAGAACCTTTATAATGGCTTTTTCATATCGTATAAGAGCTTCTATGTACTCAGTGCTTATGATATGCCAAGTACTTGGCTAGGCACTTTACTCATATTATCTCTTTTAACGCCATTGAGCTATCATAACAACCCTACAATGATTTATTTATTTTTATTTTGTGGAAAAAAGAGCTAAGAGTGACTAAATAGCATGGGTATTAAATGGTAGAATCATATCTGTAGGTCCTTATAATCAATTCTATTATTTGCTCTACTAAATTCTGTATAATAAAGTTATTCAAGTCTTTTTGAATTTAACATACACGTATTAATATATAACATTAAATTTTAATCATTTTTTCCATCTAAAAGAGTGTTCTAAAGCTTTGATTTGGTTTGATCCCACCAAGAAAGTAAAATGTTTTCTGTTCACAGAAGGTGTCTTTTAAAAAAATAATGTTTATTAAATCCACAGTAAAATTACTTACACTTTTTATAGAAAAATTGTACGACACAGGAAAGGTAAAAGAAATGGAAACTTCCAAATCCAACAATATTTTAAGGTATCTCTATTTAATCATTTATTATTTAAATCCTCAAAATAATTCATAGTTATGTCTAAAGGTTTACTTTAAAATTTTGTTTTAATATTAACAAAATTCTGTCTTCCCTAAATCACATATTATATGCTAATGAAAAGAAATGGCCCACATGTAAATGAAGGGGAGGCTTATAGAGTATGGGTTAAAAAATAATAAAGAAATGCGGCTGGGCATGGTGGCTTAGCCCTGTAATCCCAGCACTTTGGGAGGCTGAGGTGAGTGGATCATGAGGTCAGGAGTTAGAGACCAGCCTGGCCAATATGGTGAAACCCCATTTCTACTAAAAATACAAAAATTAGCTGGACATGGTGGTGCACGCCTGTAGTCTCAGCTGCTTGGGAGGCTGAGGCAGGAGAATCACTTGAACCCGGGAGGTATAGGTTGCAGTGAGCTGAGATCATGCCACTGCACTCCAGCCTGGGCGACAGAGCAAGACTCCATCTCAAAAAAAAAGAAAGAAAAGAAAAGAGAAGAAAGAAATGTAAAATACACCACGTTACATTAGTGTTTGAGGCTTAGAGACAGTCACGCCTAAGTTCAAATCCCAGCTAGACCATGTACCACATCTCGAACCTCAGTTTGTGTCAATCTAGTATGAGGACAAAAGTGCTTCAATCTTGAGAATAGTTGTGATAATTAAATATACGTAAGTGCCTAGAAGAGTTCCTGGCTTTTACATCTATGAATAGCTCTACCTCTTCCTTAAGCTTGTAGCATGGTAATGTAGGTGTAAAATTTACACAGAAATCCTGTGCATCACATAATTTTACTGCTATCAAACAGAGCATATTTTAACCATGACTAGATAAAGCAGCAGACTCTACGTGGGGAAGAAAAGGAACATCTAAAAAGAAGTAAATGAAGGGGTTCTGAAAGTATGTAATAACTATCTAATTGCTTTGGAACTTAAGAAATCAGTTTACAAGCATCTGAATAGGGTTATGCAGTTGACATCCAGGTCACGGAAGGAATGGAGGCATTAAAATGAGGAGAGGCAGAGGAAACAGATTTTCCAAAGATAAATGGTCAATGTCCTTTGAGGGAGTGGAGACAGAAATGGCTTGAGGTTGTACTAGAGGAGAAAGTAGTGCAGAATCTCTCCTGTTTATCTCCTTTCTAGTTTGGAAAATAAACGTAAAATATGTTATCTTCACTAAATTTTTAACAAAAGTAAAGAGCAAACAAAAGGGAGGAGAAAAGCTTGTAAAATTGACTTGTTTTGATTTTAAAACTTACCTTATTTGTCATAAAAAGATGATATAAGGCTGAAATACAATACTATCTTGTAGGCTTTGGAACTCACTCTTTAGGTAATATGGAAATCTTAACTCTACTGAATTCATTGTATTTTTAATTTAATATTGATCGAATGCCATATGAGTTTGGCAAATATCAGTATATATAAATGTTTAAATGTTTTTTTGTTGTTGTTGTTTTGTTTTTGTTTTTGAGACAGAGTCTCACTCTTACCCCCCAGGCTGGAGTGCAATGGCGTGATCTCAGCTCGCCGCAACATCCGCCTCCTGGGTTCAAGCGATTCTCCTGCCTCAGCCTCCTGAGTAGCTGGGATTACTGGTGCTTGCCACCATGTCCGGCTAATTTTTTGTATTTTTAGTAGAGACGGGGTTTCACCATGTTGGCCAGGCTGGTCCCGAACTCCTGACCTTGGGTGATCTACCAGCCTTAGCCTCCCAAAGTGCTGGGATTACAAGTGTGAACGCGTTTTTTTTTTTTTTTTTTTTTTTAACTGTAATTAATTCACACTCCTTTCCAAATTGTTTTCTTTCTATTCTTCAAAATTATAGACTACAAGCTTCAGATGTCTGACAATTTTGTACTTAAACATGTCTGACCTATGGGGTCATGAACTCTTGTCTCTCTACAGTAAAAGGTACTATGGGATTTCTACTAACTCCATTTTTTATCTTTTTACCTTTCCTGAACAGGAGTTGTCATCCAAGCCTAGCATATCAACTCTCAGTCATCTTTGGTGGAAAGTCCCTAATGATATAACATTAAAAACTTGGAACAGGAACAGTGCATGAATCTTTGTCTAACTTTGCTAGACTTGACCACTAATGCTAGACTTCACCACCAGATGCATGGAAGCTGTCTTTTGCATTATTTCTGGAGAGGGCTCCTGATTGCCCACCATGGTTTTACACCTTTTTACACGCATTTAAACAGCTCTTACTTCTGCTTGAAACTGCTGCATTTAGACTTTTTTTGTTTAATTTTAAAAGTAAAATTTGTGCTCAGTCAGTATGACTCTCGTTTTCTTGTTTCTAAATATCTACTTTGCTGTCTCATCTGGTCAACTAGCACAATTTTAAAGAATTAATTAGTTAAAATATTAATGTGTTTTAAGTTGAATATGGTTAAATCGACAGTGGTTCCTGGTTTGATTTTTAGCTGAGAGATTACAATAAAGTCTGTTTCCTACATCAGATGTGTTGATTAATACATTGTAGAATTAGGCTCCGGGTTTTTACAGCTCGATTAATTGATAAGAAGTCAGAGCTTGGGGCAGTATAATTAAGTTTGCTGGAAAATTAATGCAGGAATTGGCTTTGTGATTTGATTGGTTTAAAATCTATGAATACACTTACTTAATCCTTTTGAATTAAACTTAGGTGCCAAAAAATTACGTTAGCTACATCTCTGCAATGTTCTGTCTCCAAGTCAATACTCTTTTGCAGTCTTTGAAAGAAATGATGTGTATACAAAACACAGTAATCCCCAGCTATCCAGCAAAAAAGATTATTTTCTTGTTCATTGGTAAAATACGCTGGACTTCTTTAATTCTTTTCGTTTCCCAGTTGATCTTTGAATTAATTTCTGTGTCATAAATAATAAAACTCCGTGGCTGAATACACTGTAGCCTACTATTAGGATTAACTGTTCTTATAGGTCAGCGACATCAGGCAATTTTTATGCAAAGAGGGAATGCTAAATAAGAAAAAATCATTTAACAGCCAAATGTTATACTCTACTGTAAGACATCTAATGGCTCCATGGGAAAACGGGATAGCTTGAAAGACTGTCTTTTGAGGAGTAGGGTGAAGTCTAGCTATTTAAGTGCTGCATATTAATTACAAAATAAATACATTATGAAGTAGTAACCAAGTTAATATAATGATTTTCTTAGTCATTCTTTTTCTCTTCCTCTTATAACTCAACAACATTTTCAAGCTGGTAGCACAATCTTTAGATGGAATGCCCCTTCAATAACCTCCCTCTCTCTGCCTCTCTCAATTTCTTTTTCTTTCTACCCTTACAATATTAAACCGCACAGCTAAAATGAATTTTAATTCATTGTTTTCATCATACTTAGACTATATTGCCTCACAACTATCAAAGTCAAACATATAAATACCTGTTTTATTTCTCCATAGTTCTCTGCTGTTCTTATGTAATTTTGAGATCTTCAATTAGCTTCTTTTGTGAATTTAAATAATATTAACATAATGTTAACAAATAATCTACTTAAACATTGACCATTTGTTGCATCAATTGAGACTACATTACTCACTGTGTATATTGAGGGTATTTGTAAAGTCTCCCTTTCTTGTACCGTTTCTCTTTTATTAATTGCCTAAATTTTGCCAGTTACATATTTATATTTTTTCCTATTCTATCACATTTCCATTTTATCTCACAGCTAAATCTTCTGATTTGCCCAAAAATTAACACTAAACCTGAAAATCTCATAAACAGCATTTACATGATTGTAACCAGAACAATATTGTTTTGTACAGAGCGAGTGGTATAGGATGACATGACTTTCCTTCAAGTTTCAATGCCAACACCACGTGCAACTTGAAGGAAGATGTTTTTGGCAGATCTTGAACAAATAAATCGGTTTTGTTTGTACTTTTTAAAATGCTAAATATAATGTCACATATTTTCTTACTAACACAAATGCAACACAAAAGCACTTGAAAAGGCATGCACAGAATTTGATTCAAGATATCTGGTTAAAGATTCAGGTTGAATTACTTCCATATTTAAAGTATTTCTAAGCTTTAGATTTGGACCTTGAATTACTAGTGGAGCTTTATATGTAATTGTCATTTCTATTTGCTTTTTTTTTGTTTTTGTTTTTGACAAAAAAAAATGAAGCTTTTCTTATAGCCTTACATTTATTAAAATTCTCAATCATAATAGCTACTGCTTGCATTATTTTTTCCAAAAAGACACCATTCCACATCACCTAGTCCTAACTGAATAAAGTGTCATCTGATTCTGTACCGTTTTTATAGTAGACTTCCAATGGCCCTTTCATATGGAAAATATTTTAAGTATAATACAAACATATAGATAATATATGCGTATATATGTATATAAAATTTGTCTCACACTTGATAGATGGTTTGGCTGGGCTTAGAAGTCTAAGTTCAAAATAATATTTGCTCAGAACCTTAAAGGTTTCACCTTATTGCCTTCTTGTATCCAGTGGCATTGATGATAGACTGGTCATTATTTCCTCTTAGATCATATAAGCAGTATAATAGGTTTCTTTTATGTTTTTAAAAGGTTTAAAATAATCTTTATCCTTGATGTTCTGACATTTCACAAGAACTTATCTAGTGATGGGCTTTTTTCCCCCTTTAATCCTATTATCTCTCTTTACAAACATTTTCTATGGAAAAAAAAATTCTTTTTAAGTTCTGGGAATTTTCTGCGTTATTTACTTGAACATTTTCCCTCTTTCATGCTCTTTTCTGGGAAATTCTGAGGGTAAATGTTGAATATCCCCGGTGGCCGAGTCTCAAGTTCTCTTTTCTGTTTGTTTATTTGTTTGTTTTCCATTGTATTTTCATTTCTTTGTCTATGTGCTCTATATTCTTGAAGACTTGTTTTGACTTTATGGTCCAGCTCGCACATTTAATTTTTCTATTATTTGGTAATTGAATGTTCAACTGTCCAATGACTCTTTCTTGTTCTCTGCTTATTTTTTTAATAATAACATTTAAACAAAGTTCTTATTCAAATTGTATTTGAAACTCTGGGGAAGGTAATAATAATGTTTAAAAATTTTATTTTGATCTCCAAATTCAGTTAGGTTAGTCTTTCTCTGTCTATATCGGGTTTTCATTTTCATTTTATAGGTACTGGTGAATCCTGATTGCCCACTTAGCATTTAGAAGACTGATTATCATTCTTGCTTTCTCCTCGGTGTTTCCTTGTTTTCTATATGAATAAAGCAAAAACAAAAAAAAAATCTTGTTTCTTTTCATGGGAAGTGTGAATGGAGCTGTGATAAGTATAAGAGCTGTGTTTTTCATTTTTTAGGCTAGTTTGGGGGTCAAAAGGAGCCAATAGCCTGAGGGTCCCTTATTTCCAGATTTTGGAAGTAAGTGTTTGTTTTAGGTGTTGGTACTTCTGGCAACCCTTATTATTCCCAAGATTACATTCAGACTTTTAAAAAAGAGAACTTTTTCTTTGTTGCTGTTTTTGTTTATTGCTTTGGTTTTTCATATCCTTTACTCGTTCTGTTTGACAGGAACATCTGGTTTGAAGTTTCTTTTTTAGTTTTCAATAGACCCTTCACCATTTTGCAACTTCTCTTTTCCTAACTTCCATACCTCAAAATTTACCTCCTGAGTCTTTCATAGGCTCCAACTGAAAGACTGTTTCCTGACTAAGTCATGTTTTTTGTTTTGTTTTGTTTTGTTTTTGTTGTTTTTTTTTTTCCGGCGTCTCGCTGTGTCACCCAGGCTGGAGTGCAGTGGCACAATCTGGGCTCACTGCAAGCTCCACCTCCCAGGTTCAAGCCATTCTCCTGTCTCAGCCTCCAGAGTAGCTAGGACAGCAGGCGCCCACCACCACGCTTGGTTAATTTTTTGTATTTTTAGTAGAGACGGGGTTTCACTGAGTTAGCCAGAGGGGTTTCACCGTGTTAGCCAGGATGGTCTCGATCTGCTGACCTCGTGATCCGCCCGACTCGGCCTCCCAAAGTACTGGGATTACAGGCGTGAGCCACCGCGCCCGGCCTAATTTGTGTTTTTAACTACAACTTCTCATACTATTTCGTCAGTAAACATCCTCCCATCTGCTTCCTTTCACCCAGAGATATGCCACAATCCCCAATCTCTTGGTGTTCTGTGAACATCGTTTTCTTCTGTGAGTTTACCTCCTTTGCATTTCGAAGTAGGAAAACGACCATACCTGAATCTTTAACCCGGTATTCAAAATCAATTTTTGAATACTCCTTTCAAGTATTTTTATAATATACTTGTGTTCAAAAGAAAAATTATATAAAAACTGGTGATCAACAACAGACTGTTATCCAGGTGCGGTGTCTCACACCTGTAATCCCAACACTCTGGGAGGCCATGGTAGATGGATCACCTGAGGGCAGGAGTTTGAGACCAGCCTAGCAAACATGATGAAATCCTGTCTCTACTAAAAATGCAAAAATTAGCCAGGCATGGTGGCACACGCCTCTAATCCCAGCTACTCGGGAGGCTGAAGCAGGAGAATCGCTTGAACCTGGAAGGCAGAGGTTGCAGTGAGCCGAGATGGTGCCACTGAACTCCAGCTTGGGCTACAGAGGGATATTCTTAAAACAAAAAACAAAAAACAAAAAAAGTAAATGGAATGAAAACACGGCATACTATTGAAAGAAATACAAACACTTAATTATCATGTAACTTCACATATGCAGATGAACTCTGAAAATATTAAATATTGAAGGTGAAAAAGAAATGACAAAGTTAATTGAAGGAAATTCATTGTTAGTTGATTTAAAGTTAATTGAAGGAGACTGTTTTTAGATATGGGGTGTTAGAGAGTTCTGAAAACCTTGAAGCATAAATAGCAAATGGAAAAATTATGTATGAGATTATGTAAAAATTAAGCATTTGTTTTTAGAAAATAACACAATGGACAGTGTTAATAACCACAGGGAAGAAACAAATTGCCATGCCTAAAATTGACATGAATATTTACACTATTCAATTATTTCCTGAAAATCTGGGAGCAGAGTGAGACTCTGTCTTAAAAATAAACATAAGCCTATATATCAGGGTCAGCTTACATAATCAGAAACAAGTGACCAAGGCTAATTTACAGGCTGAGAGAAGAAGTAGATTACAGCTTTGGCAGTGCCGCTCACTAGCTCTGTATTTTGGAAATATCATTGTCCATCCACTCAAATATTTGTTCAAGTAGTTTAAGTAAGCACTGGCTACATATCTGCCCACATAGCTACACACACACACGCCCCCACACACACGCACACGTGTGTGTTAGGCAGTTGCTCACTATGCAGCTATTGATTCAATAGCTATTTATCCTGTGCCTATTAAGTGCAAGGTGCTGTTCAGTTAGACCTCGAGGCTTTGAGCATGACAAGGAAGAGTGA
The DNA here is from genome assembly GCF_000001405.40 of Homo sapiens. Taxonomy (NCBI): domain Eukaryota; kingdom Metazoa; phylum Chordata; class Mammalia; order Primates; family Hominidae; genus Homo; species Homo sapiens. Next base: position 4,705,565 of record NC_000002.12, read on the forward strand.
TCCCTGAACTCAGGACGTGAACTCACAGGCATCATTTCACCCTCTTATCCAAAAACTTTGATCTTGCTTATATTTTTCAAAAGTTTCGAATTCCTTACTCAGATATGTGAAATGATGTTTACAATATCTCCCTGTGGAGAGGGCTGGAATCAGCCAGAACCAAATAAAGGTTGTTATCCTTCTCTCTGAGTCACTACTCACTGTGCTATTCTCTGTATGTTAAGGCCATCTGCAGGTTAGGTAGACCTACCTGAAGGGGCAGGTGAGGAGAGGAGGTGGAGAAGCATCCTTCCTCATTGCCAAATGACAATCAGGCTAATTCTGCCACAAGGAAGAAGAAAACTTGAAAAGAACTCCTACTTGCCTGCGCTGGCTTTGGGAGAGACACAGCATTCTATGGAGGTATAAGCTAAGGTAGTGAAATCAGTGTTCCCTCAACACTCAGTAGCTGAGTGGTGCTAGAGTGATAGATCTAGAGAGTTAAGTTTTTGAATCTTACTTTAAGGCACTATGAAGCAAATTATGAAGGAACCCTGAACTCTAGCCCTTTTTGGAGAAAGAGTTTCCATGACATTCAAGAACAGTTTCTATATTACAAATTTTCTTAGACAACATCTTTATAAAATCATTGCAATGTAATTTCAAACCATTTGTTTTTTATTGTAAGAGAGTCAGGGATTTTCACAAGTACTTTTTTGTCCATCACACAAACACTCCTATAGTACAAAGGTATATATAAATTGCTGCTTGGATTGGCTGTAAAACAAAACAAAACAATAAAATGGAACTTGTTTTGGGATTTGCCAGTGCTCTCAGATGGCAGAAACATCCTTGGAACAAATAATGATAACAGAAGTCATATGCGATGCTACTGCATTTCAATATTACAAGGGATAAAACCTCACGGGAGGATCAGAAAGATGTTTCTGAAGGAGATGAATTTTGATCTTGACTTTGAAGTTTGGATCAGTCATTCCTTGACAAATATTTTATGAATGTCTACTGTGGGAAATGTCAGGAAATCTCTGCCCAAATGTATTAATGATAGCATGATAGCATGTGGAGGACAGCATTCATACCCTTCAACAAATCAATGTACGCTTACAAATTTGATTAGTGCGGTAAAGTGCACAGAGCTATGCGAAGATGTCTAGGAGGACTCCAAGGTAACACGTGGAATCAGGAAGCGTGGCCAAGATGAGCTGACTTTGAGGGACATCAGAAAATAGAACATGGTGATTAACTAAGCAAGGGCGGGAGGAAAAGACTATTTCAGTTAAAAGGGACAAAAAGTGCACAGGGCATATTTTGCAATGGGATGCTGCGGTCTGCCGGACATGGAAAGAAAGTCACTGGGGATGCTGTGTAGACAGTGAGGGAGAGCTTGCATCAACAGGAGGCTGCGGAGGCTTTGTAGACAGAGCATGCAGTTTGCTCGCTATCTCCTGTCCCTCTCTTCCACCCTCTCCTTGCCTCCTTGCCTCTTTGTGCTTATCTATGTTGGAAATGCTTCATTCTCACTTATGTGTTTTCTACTTGCCTGTTTCTCATTTCCATCCAGGCTTTGGTTAACTGCCATAGTATTGGTTCTGGTAGTACTAGTAGTAGTTAACTCATTACTAGCTTGCTCTCTATGTCCCGGTCACTGTCTAAATAATCAACCAGATCGGCCCATCTGATTCTCACAACAACCCTGCACGGTAAGTGCTCTTATCACCACCTCAAAATCGATGGAATTAGGCACAGGAAGATTAAGTGACTTACCCAAAGCCACATCCCTAAAAGAGAAGAACCAGCCTCCAGGCCTAGACCACCCTGTCCTTAGCCCAAGATCAGTGCTGCACTGCTAGCACCCAGGCCTGCCTGGCATCAGGTAGGGAGAATAAAGAAAGAAATGGGAACCACATTTATGTCTTTGTATTTTGCCAGGATGAAGGGATGCTACGTTATATTTCCTTCCCGAAATGCACAATATTTTTTTAACACACTGAATCCATGGAATGGTTAGACTGTTGCAAATAACTGATGGGAAAAGTTTATTGACCAGAAACTCCCACCACTGACTGTCTGCGCTATTCACACAATGAAGCACAGATACAGCAGCATGCTGGCTCTTTCACTACCATAGAAATTAATCTTTAATTTACTCATCTCAAAAATGAACACTGACTGTGCAATTAGGATAAATGTCTGATGTTAATAATATGCATCCCTTCAATTAGTGCTGAATTCATCATGCTAGCCGCAAACTAGTATTGATTAAGAGATTAAGGGCCCAAAAGATATGCAGAAAATGTGATTAGCGCCCTAGAGGTGTGATGACGGTATTTGAATAAAAAATCTTGCATTGTGCATCTACAGTAGAAATATTTCTCACTAAAGTTCAGTACATTTTGTAACTTTATCAAATAAGGCCTAGTTATTAATTTGTGATCAAGCTAAGGTTGCTCATTTCTTCACATTTAAGCATTAGAGTCAGTATATGGTATTTCACTAGCAGTTTGCACTGTATCTGTACCCAGCTTCTCACTAACATATCATAGAAAGGCAATACGGAAAATATAAAATAGTAAAAACCCGAAAGCTCTACTGCAAGAATTAGATACAAACTAACATTAATTAAAAGACACGTGGATGTGTGTTGAGCAGCTCTCTCCTGAGTCTCTGCTTCTGCTCAGGGTATGTACTGGCTTCGCTGCTACAGACATGCAGGGAAAAAGGTGGAAATAAACTTTGTTTTCAGGATATCTCTCCCCAGATTTAGAGATGTGGGGCCCATTAACCCAAGACCCTAGTTTTCATTCCCACCTCCCTTTCAGAGAAGAGAATGGCACCCTCCTGCCCCCTCCTCTTCCCCTCAGTATGTGAGTGGAGATGAACAGGAGAGAAAGCAGCTGGTGAAAGTCAAGCTGGAGTGGCTTTTATGTTATACATTTTTGGACATGGAAGCCTCTCCAGGCAAATGGTAAATAGAGGTGTATAAAATCTGGATTCAAACACTGCTGCCTTCAATGCAGTGCAGGCCTACCATGCTCTTGCTTGCATGCTCATTATCACTAATTGTCAGGGAAATGAAAATTAAAGCTACAATAAGATACATGTGCATGAATAGCAAAGACTTGGAGCCAGCCCAAATGTCCACAATGATAGACTGGATTAAGAAAATGTGGCACATATGCACCATGGAATACTATGCAGCCACAGAAAAGGATGAGTTCATGTCTTTTGTAGGGACATGAATGAAGCTGGAAACCATCATTCTGAGGAAACTATCGCAAGGACAGAAAACCAAACACCACATGTTCTCACTCACAGGTGGGAATTGAACAATGAGAACACTTGGACATCGGGTGGGGAACATCACACACTGGGGACTGTTGTGGGGTGGGGGTAGAGGGGAGGGATAGCATTAGGAGATATACCTAATGTAAATGACGAGTTAATGGGTGCAGCACACCAACATGGCACATGTATACATATGTAACAAATCTGCACACTGTGCACATGTACCCTAGAACTTAAAGTATAATAATAAAAAAAATGAAAAAAAAAAAAACTACAATAAGATATCACCTAACACCTGTTAGAATGGCACTTAGAAAAACAAAAGATATCAAGTGTTGGTGAGGATGTGGGGAAAATGAAACTCTTATACACAGTTGATGAAAATGTAAATTAGTGAAACCCTTATGAGAAACAGTATGGAGGTTTCTTAAAAACCTAAAAATACAATTACCTTATGACCCAGTAATCCCATCCCTGTGGTGGATATCCAAAGGAAATTGGGTAAGTATGTTTAAGGGATGTCTGCACGCCCACATGCATTGCAGCATTATTCAAAATAGCCAATATATAAATCAGCCTAAGGGTTTCTCAGTTGATAAAGTATGATATTTATACACAGTGGAATATTATTTAGCCTTAAAAAAAACTGAAGTGAAATAAGCCAGGCACTGAAAGAAAAATATTCCATGATCTTATTTATACATGGAATCTATAAGAGCAGAACTCAGAAGCAGAGAGTAGAGGGTTGGGATAAGGTGATATTGGGGAGATATCTGTGAAAAAACACAACCTTTTTGTTACACAGGAGGGATAAGTTCAAAAGATCCATTGTAAAACATGGTGTCTATAACTAATAATAACCAACTATTGTATACTTGATAATTGCTAAGATAGTGGACTTTTTATTCTCTCCCCAAAAAATATGTGAGGTAGTATATATGTTAACTAGCTTGATTTAACCATTTCACAATGCATCCATATTTAAAACATCATATAGAACTCAATAAAAGTATACAACTTTAATTTGACTATTAATTTCTTTAATTAAAAAAGATATCATGAATTTTTTTTCTGTTTCTTTTGCATCTGGACTCTATGAAAATATATACAGCTGGTTTTTCATCTCTGTCCAGATCTTAGTAAATTAGAATTGATTAAGGGAATCAGAGATGAGTAAAGTAGTTTAAAAATCTTATATGATCACTGCACTGAGATTAAATTCTTTCCAGTAAAGCAGAACTCACTTCCAAGTTCATCATCAAAAGAAAAGTAAATATAGAAATGAAACAGATGGAGATCAAAATATTAACTTTATTTTCCAAGCTGAATTGAAGGACGTGGCTTATATCTAGGCCAAATGGAATTTCACATATTTCAGTGCTGCCCCTTCCCCTGAAAATATCCTTATTCCCTCAATCACAGTATGAACTGACAACCTGGAGACCTCCTCAGTAGGGCCAGCTGTGTCCCAGGAGGAGAAGGTGTGCGTGAGAAGAAACTAAACCCACACACCCAAGCCACGCACACGCAAACTCTTCTTCCCATCTTACCCCGACTCAGTCACTCCCTCTCACTACAAGATTGAATGAGAGAGGACATTGGAAGAGACACCAGAATTAAATGTCTCATGTTTCCGTCTTCAGGAGCCTTGCAGTTCCGTCTCTTTTATTGAATTTAAAGAGTAATGGTTATTTCACCAATACTCTGTCATTATCTTCTTTGTTAAGAGTTCTTGAGGATAAGAGACCAGATATGATGCACCCTCATAGCTAGTTTCTATCCCTTTATTAAGAAGATAAACTTTATGTCTTGGAATAATTTAAGATGTGCAGAAAAGTTTGGGCGGTAGTGGAGACAGACTCTGTGTCCTCCTCACACAGGGGTCCTCCCTTGCCAGCATTTCACATGACCCAGGTACGTTGGCCAACACTGAGAAACAGACACGGGCCCACTACTAAGAACAGCATTTCCGACCTGTTTTCAACCTATTTTGAAATGAAAGTCGTCACTGCCAGCATCAACTTTGGTGAGCGGAGAAAGCCCATCCCTGTCATGAATTTGGTGCAACTTCACTGAAGGCTGCAGCTTACTCTGAAGGTGAGGCCAGGGAGCTGGTGAAGCAGAAGCAAGGATAGCCTGCTGCATTCGGAACCCAAAGTGAAGAGGGTCCACTATTCCAAATGGAGGGTTTCTCTCTATGTGCAGGTCAATATTATTTTGACTATCAAACATTAGTGTTTCTGTTTAGAGAAGCTATTATGTATCAGGAGGGAAAACTGCCTTTTCCCGCAGAACCTGGTTGACACAAGCATAGCATTCTCTAAACTGTAAACCTTAACATGCCCATAGAAATGCAGAAAAGAATGCCAGGTGGCTCTGTGAGTACCATGGTGTGGATATCAATGTAACCAATGCCTCATAGAGAAGTACAGCATAATGGGACTCCCAGGGCCCCTCATGTTCCACCCTAACAAATCTGACTCTTACAGTCATATGGTTTGGCTCATATATGTCTATTTCTGAGGGTGAGTATAGTGTGATTAATCTTTTCAATATCCCAAGGTATTTGTCATCATGAAACTACCACAGTGTGATATTAGATTGGTGCAAAATTACTTTCAATGGCAAAAACTCCAAGTACTTTTGCACCAACCTAGTAAATGCCATAGATAATTTTAGGAAAACGCCAAGTGAAGAGTATTAGCATTTCTTAACAGATTGTCCAAGGAGTCATTTTATCTTGTTTTTCTGAATGCATTCATTAAATATACACTAGGAGGAATAAATTAGCAAACATCTACATAGTCAGAAGTCAGGGTCTAATTTACCGTCAACTCCAGTTTAGAGAACTTGTTTCAAACTGGGCAAATGACAGAAGAGAAGAAGAAAAGTAGAGTTTTTGAGGAAGGCTTTCTAAGTCTGACTGAGATGCCTCTAAATTAAACCAATCATTTTACTGAATATAATTTTAATATTTCCTTCGCTTAATTTCAATACCTTTTTTCTTACATATGTAACAGTTTGACTGCTGTATAAGTATATAATGTTACAACTATTACAAAAAGAATAAATCTGTATGTAATATAAACTATATTGGTCCAGTGGTACTAAAAATTGTTTAAACATTAAATCAGCTATCATTGGTTAAAATTTTCTAATATGACTGAGAAATACTGGTGCCAAAAAAAGAAGTGTGCTTATAAAGTATTGATAATATTAAGAGAAGATATTAGCATTTATAGGGCATCTGCTATATTCCAGACATTGCAATTTATATTTATTGCCCTTCATCATTTCAACTATATAAGCTACACAAACATACAAAAATAATAATTATAAACATATATGCAACAATTATAAACACGTATACACCTAATAATAGAGCCGCAACATAAATGAAGCAAAAAACTGACCGAATTAAAGGAAAAAGTAAACAATAATGATTGGAGACTTCAGTGGCACACTTATAATAATAATTAGAAAAACAGAAAATGAAGAAAAGGGACTGTTAGAAGAATTTCCAGTAGCCAATCACAACCTGCTAAAGAGAAATAAATAACATAAAAAAATACACTCGGGTCACCAGAAACACACATTTAAAGTTAAAAAAGAAAAGAATATAGATAATGTATAAATAACAATAGAATAATTAATTTTTAAAATCTTTACATGCTTGACAAATAAACAAAATATAAATGTTTTTCAACTGTCACAGAAGAGGTATATGGAATATAAAAGAAATTTTTGGACAACAAAAGTAAATGAAGAGTGAGCAGACAATTGAATCAAAAAAAAATTTTTTTCCTGAATTAAATATATTTTTGTGTTAAAAGTTAGGATTAAAATGGAAAAGAGTGAAATGCTGGAGATGCACAAAATAACCAAAGGAAATAAAATAAAAAAAGGAGTTAAAGTTGTTGAAATAAGATGGTAGTTATAAAATACAGATAAATAATACTTACTATATACATACTTCCATTCTGAAAGAGATGCACAGCAAATTTTAAAGAGAAATCTGTATAGACATATAACACAGAAAATAATTTCTGAAGTAAAATAATACCCATATCTGAAAACAAAAGAATATATCATGTCTCAGAAAATTTTGACAAATAATAATCAATACTAAAGCTTCTACTGGTGAAGTTACTGAATTTAAAAATAATTCTACTGCTAAGTTAGGCCAGGTTTTTGTCAACTACAAGATAGAAAATGAATCTGAAATCAGTGTTATTTACAGTAACATTTAATAATTAAAGGACTTCGAAATGTCTATAAAATTGGCAGCTTTCCAGTATTGAGTCTTCTAATTCACACAGTATGTATTTTCATTTATTTAGGTCTTAATTGACATATTTAGCCAGCAGTTTGTCCAGTTTTTAACATGCACATTCTTTATATGTTTTATGATGTCAAATTTCTAAGAATGTTGTATTTTGAAGCTATTTTTAAAATGCTGTTTTTTATCTCCATCGTTCATTGTTTACATACAGAAATCCACTTGATATTTATGTTTCCATTGTATTCTACAATTTTGCTAGAATTACTTTTCTCCTCCTCCTCCTTCTTCTTCTTCCTCATCGCCATCACATGTTAGTTGAAATTCCACATAGAGTCATGTTGTCTTTAAATAGGAATAAGTTTATATCCTCCTTTTCACAGTTGTGTATTTTTTCTTGCCTTGTTGCATTGCCTAGCATTTTCATTAAAATGCTGAATAGGAGCAGTGAGAGTGAAAATACTTGCCTAGTTCTTAGACATAGGGGAAAAGCATTCAAGCTTGATATTAAGTATAATATTAGCTCTATGATTTTTGTATAATACCTTTTATCAGGCTGAGGAAGTTTTCTTCTATCCCTACTTAGAATAGGTTTTTATGACTTGATGTTGAACTTTCCTTAGTGCTTTTTCTATACCAATTCATATAATCATGTGATTTTTCTTTTTTAAGTTGTTTTTATGGCAGAGTACACTGATTTAAAAATATTGAAGTAGCTTTGAATTGTCAGGATAAAGTCCATTTGGTCATGGTACAGTATTTGCTTTATATATTATTAGAATTAGAATTGATTTCCTAATTTTATATTGAAGGTCTATTCATTTCAATATTGTTTTTCTTTTCTTGTACTGTCTTTGTATGGTTTCGGTAGAAGGGTAATACTAGTATAAAATGTCTGAGGATGTTTTCTTCATCTTATCTTTCAAATAGATTGTGTAGAATTGACATTATTTCTTCTTAAAACATTTGGTAGAATTCACCATTGAGACAATTTTGGCCTAGATAATTGGAGGGTAGTACAAACCTATTTTGGTTATCTAATTTTTCTTGGGTAAGTTTTGATAACTTATGTTTTTGAGAAATCGGTCAATTTCTTCTACATGGTACAATCCACATTCATAGACTTTTTTTACAGCTTCTTTTAGTGTATTTTTAAGGTACACTAGTTATTTCCTTTTTTAATTTTTGTATTGGTAATTTGCTTATTTTTTTCTCTCTCTTTTTTCGTTACTCTTGCTATAGTTTTATAAACTTAATAATTCTTTTCAAAGGATCAGCTTTTGGTTTGTTTAATTTTCTCTATTTTTTCTTCTCTGATCTCTATTATTTTCTTCCATCTAAATTACTTAGTTTTATTTTGCTAATATTTCCCTAGTTTTCTAAGGTAGAAGCATAGATAGTTGATTTGAGTCTTCTCAATGAGCATATATTGTGAAGTTGCTCTAAGTACTGTTTTAATTTCACTTTATAAATTATATATTTTATTTTTATGTGTGTTCATTTTAAAGTATTTTTACATAATTTCCAGTTTTAATAACATGGAAGCAAGCTGGCTTCACTCCCTGACACAGAAAATAAATAAATAACCAGCTCTGATAGTATCACCAGAAATATCCCAGAAGTTACATGAGGATGAGACAGTTCCCAGGACCACAAAGAAGTTAAATATTCTGAGTAGATTAAAAGAATATAGGACTTCCCTGTCTGCAATGCCCTCCTCCCTGATTTTCCCTGCATCAAGTGTGAGAAAACTCTCACCCACCAAGTCATGATTTTTACACTGGAAATGTAAGATTGAGGTGGACAACCAGCTTCCCCAGAATCTTGGATTTCCTAGCAGGAGACCTGTCTCTGCCTCAATGCACCAAAGGTATTGTGAGTGCCTGAAGGGGAAAACATCTCTGAGGACAGGAACAGACAAAGGGGAAAGACAGAACTACCATTCCCACTCCTGAAAAGTTTGTTCTCTAACTCAGTAAAAGGAGAGGCCAAATTAGAGTGACTTTTTAATAGCATCACACTGCAGGAGAAATGTTCCACAGCTCCGCTGAGCACAAATCTCCAGCTTCCTATCCTTCCAGGATATCCCTTCGGGGACCCAATAACAGTCAGCTCTCTGATGATTGACTAGAGACAAGACAAACCTGGGAATAAGACACCACCTAGTGCTGAAAAGAAGGCAAGAACCTAATGGGGGAAAAATTAACTGGTAAATTACAGGGAATCTCTCAACAAATACATCCAATCCAAACCAAAGACCAGGTGGACAAAGAAGACTAGAATAAAAAATTGATACTTCAATGAAATATATAGAAGTATACTCACAGGAAACAACAGCAAACAGAGAACCATGACCACCTCAGACAAAGCAGGGAACAGATGACTGAAACTAAGAAGATAATGATATGTGAGCTCTCTGAGCAAGAATTCAAAATAGCAGTTTTAAGGAAACTCAGTGATCTCCAAGATAACACAGATAAGTAGTTCAGAAATGTATCTGAGAAAATTGAGAAAGAGATTGAAATATTTTTAACAATCAAAGAGAGATCTTGGAACTGAGAAATACATTTACTGAACCAAAAATTTCATTAGAGGCTCTCAACAGCAGAATGGATCAAGCAGAGGAAAGAATTAGTGAACAAAAAGACAAACTATTTGAAAAGAAACAGAGAGGAAAAAGAACAAAAGAATGGAAAAGAATGAAGATAACCTACAAGATATAAAAATTACCTCATAAAAAATAAATCTAAATATTATTAGTCTTCAAGAGGTACTTGAGCAAAAGCAAGGGTTAGAAATCTTATATAGAGAAATAATAATAGTAAACTTTCCAAAATGAGAGAAAGATCTAAGTATATATGTGCAGGGAGGTCAGAGAACACTAAAAAGATTCAACCCTAAGAACACTACCCTCAAGGCATATAATAATCAAACTCTTGAAAGTCAAGGACAAAGAGAGGAACATAAAAGCAGCAGGGAAAAGAAACAAATAACACTCAAAGAAGCTCCAGTTTATCTAGCCTCAGCTTTACAAAATAAAACCATACAGACCAAGAGACAGTAGGAAGACATATTTGAAGTTCTAAAAGAAAGAAACTACCATCAAAGTATATTGTGGTCAGCAAAGCCATTCTTCAAACATAAAAGAGAGATAAAGTCTTTTCAAACAACAACAACAACAAATGTGATAATTCACCATGACCAGACTTTTCTTACAATAAATACTAAAGGAAGTTCTTCATCAAGAAAAACAAACAAACAAACAAAACAGGCAGAAACAAAATATCCAAAGATATAAAATTCATTGGTAAATGTACATACATAGACAAACCCAGAAAACTCTAATATTGTAATGGTGGTGTGAAGTCTGTTCATAACTCTAGGATAAAGTCTGGAAAACAAATCTATAAAAGTAACAGCTATAGCAACCTGATAAGAGATAATCAATATAAATAAGTAAACTGAGAAACCTAAAGCTTAAAGTGTGGGGGATGCAGTTAAAGGGTAGAGGTTTATATTTTTAAGTTTTTAATTTGTTTTTATTGCTTTTCTTTTGATCTTAGATAATTTATCATCTGTGATGGTTAATACTGAGTGTCAACTTGATTGAATTGGAGGATATAAGGTATTGATCCTGAGTGTGTCTGTGAGGGTGTTGCCAAAGGAGATTAGCATTTGAGTCAGTGGGCAGGCAAAGGCGGACCCACCCTTACTTTGGGTGGGCACAATCTAATCGGCTGCCAACATGACTAGAATATAAGCAGGCAGAAAAATGTGAAAAGAGAGACTGGCCTAACCTTCCAGCCTACATCTTTCTCCCATGCTGGATGGTTCCTGCCCTCTAACATCAGACTCCAAGTTCTTCAGTTTTCGAACTCAGGCTGGCTCTCCTTACTCCTCAGTCTGCAGATGGCCTATTGTGGAAACTTGTGATCAAGTGAGTTAATACTTAATAAACTCCCCTTTATATATATAACTATTCTATTAATTCTGTCCCTCTCGGGAACCCTGACTAATACATCATCTTTTAAAAATAACTTGTTATTGGTATAAAATGTTTTCTGTAAGCCTCATGGTAACCACAATGCAGAAACCTAAAATAGATACACTGAAAATAAAAAGCAACATATTAAAACATACTAAAATAACATAACCACAAAGGAAAACACTAAGAAAGTAGAAAAGATTTACAGCAATCAGCAAAGAAGCAACAAAATGGCATTGTGTTATCATTTATCTATAATAACACTAAATGTAAATGGACTAAATTATTCAGTTAAAAGACATTGAGTAGCTGAATGGAGACAAGAGCCAACTATATGCTACCTACAATAAACCCACTTCATCTATAAAGACACATAAACTAAAGTGAAGTGACAAAAAAATCATGAAAATGGAAACCAATGAAGACTAAGTGTAGCTATAGTTATATCAGATAAAATAGATTACAAGTCAAAGACTTCAAAAAGTGACAAAGAAGGTCACTACATGATAATAAACATGTCAATTCATGAAGAGGATATAACAATTATAAACATCTATTCACCCAACACCAGAGTACCCATGTATATAGAGCAAACATTAATAGACCTAAAGGGAGAGAGAAACTGCAATACAAAAATAGTTGAGAACTTCAACACCTTCCTCTCAGTAATGAACAAAATATATATGATCATTTCACTAAATGACGTGAAAGCATTATATAAAATTTGACATATCCTTATTATAGAAATCCTCAACACACTGGGTATAGAAGAACATACTTGAAAATAATCAACTTCATATATGACAGACTCACAGCTAACATCACACTGAATGTGAACGTGAATAAAATTAGAGATGTTCCTCTAAGATCTTAACAAGATGAGGATGCTCATATTCAACATAATAAAAACTAATACTGGAAGTCCTAGCTAGAGCAATCAGAAAATAAAAAGAAATAAATTACCTCCAAATTGGAAAGGAAGGAGTCATATTAGCTTTATTCACAGACAGCAACATTTTTTATTTAGAAAACCCTAATGACTCTGCTGAAAAACTTTTAAAACTGAAACATGAATTGAGTAAAATTGCAGAATACAAAATGAGCATTAAACAATGAGTAGCATTTATATAAACTAACAGCAAGCAATCAGAAAAAAAATCAAGAAACCAATGCCGTTTACAATAGCTACAAAGAATATAAAATACCCAGAAATTAATTTAACCAAAGAAGTGAAAGATCTATACAAAATAACTATAAAACACTGATGAAACAATTTAAAGAGAACCCAAACTTGAAAATGTATTTCATGCTGGTGAATTGGAAGAATTAATATTGTTAAATTGAATATTACCCAAAGCAATTTACAGATTCAATGGAATTTTTATAAAAAATATTAATGATACTATTCACAAAAATAGGAAAAAATATTCTAAAATGTATATGGAATCACAAAAAGTTCTGAATAGCTAAAGCAATCCTGAGGAAATAAACAAACCAGGAGGCATCACACAGTCTGTCTTAAAAATACACTACGGCGGCCAGGTGTGGTGGCTCATGCCTGTAATCCCAGCACTTTCGGAGGCCGAGGCAGGCAGATCACGAGGTCAGGAGATCAAGACCATCCTGGCTAACATGGTGAAACCCCATCTCTAGTAAAAATACAAAAAATTAGCCGGGCATGGTGGCACGCACCTGTAGTCCCAGCTACTTGGGAGGCATGAGAATCTCTTGAACCTGAAAGGCAGAGGTTGCAGTGAGTGGGGATCATGCCACTGCACTCCAGCCTGGCCAACAGCAAGACTCTGTCTCTAAAATAAAATAAAATAAAATAAAATAAAATAAAATAAAATAAAATAAAATAAAATAATAAAATAAAATAATATAAAAAATAAAAAATATGCTACGGAGCTTTAATAATGAAATCAGCATTGTACTGGCATAAACACAAACATAGACCAACGCAACAGAATAGGTAACCCAGATATTAATCTCAACTCATTTTTGACAAGTCACCAAGAACACACATTGGGGAAGAAACAGTCTATTCAATAAATGGTGCCAGGAAAACTGGATAACTGTATGCACAAGAATGAAACCACACCCCTATTTCTCACCATATAATAAATCAAATCAAAATGAGTTAAAGTCTTAAACCCAAGACCTAAAACTAAGAAATTACCATAAGAAAACATTGGGGAAGTGTGTGAGGATATTGATCTGGGCAAATAGTTCTGGAGTAAAACATCAAAAGCGCAGGCCACCAAAGCAAACATAGTCATAGGATTACGTCAAGCTATAAATCTTTCACACAGTAAAGGAAACAATTAACAAAGTGAAGAGACAACCCACACAATGAGAGAAAATATTTGCAAACTACCCATATGATAAGGGCTTAAGAATTAGAATAGATAGAATACAGAATAATACATAGAAATACATAGAATATATTAGAATGTAGAATTAGAAGCTTAAAAAACTCAACAGCAAAAATTCAAATAATATAATTTAAGCGTGGCAAAATATCTGAATTCACATTTATCAGAGGAAGATATATAAATGCCCAACAGCTACATAAAAATTTTCAACATCACTAATCATCAGAGAAATGCAAATCAAAACTTCAATTAGAAATCATCTCACCCCAGTTTAAATGGCTTTTATCAAAAAGAAAAGAGTGGATGTTGGTGAAGATGTGAAGAAAAGGAACACTTGTACACCGTTGGTCGGGATGTCAATTGGTACAGGCACTATGGAAAACAGTATGCAGGCTCCTCATAAACACAAAAACTAAACTACCATATGATCTAGCAATTCCACTACTGGGTATATATCCAAAAGAAAGGAAATTAATACATCGAGGAGATATTGGCATTCCCATGTTTGTTACAGCATTATTCACAATAGCCAAAATATGGAGTCAACCCAACTGCCCATGGATCATGATTGTCAATCTATGTACATGTAATATGTAATCAACGGATGAATGGATAAAGAAAATGTGGTATATATACATATGGAATATTATTCAGCCATAAAATGTTTTAAAATCCTGCTATTTACAGCAACATGGATGGAACTGGAGGTCCTTATGTGAAGTGAAATAAGCCAAGCACAGAAAGACAAATGTCACATGTTCTTACTCATGTGTGGGAGCTAAAAAGGTGGATCTCATGAAAATAGAGTAGATTGGTGTTTGTCAAGGGTCAGGAAGGGCAGGCAGGAGAGGGGATAAAAAGAGGTTGATTAATGGTTGCAAATATACAGTTAGAAGAAATAAGACCTAGTGTTCAATAGATCAAGAGGGTGAGTATTGTTAACAAAATCTTTTGTACATTACTAAGTAGAGAATAATTCAAATGTTTCTAGAATAAAGAAAAGATAAATACCTATGGTGATGGATATTGCAATTACCCTGATTTGATGTTTACACGAGTGTATCAGAATATTACCACTGGGCGTGGTGGCTCAGATCTGTAATCCCAGCACTTTGGGAGGCCAAGGTGGGAGGATCAGGAGGTCAGGAGATCAAGACCATCCTGGCTAACACAGTGAAACCCTGTCTCTACTGAAAATACAAACAAATTAGCTGGGCATGGTGGTGGATGCCTGTAGTCCCAGCTACTCGGGAGGCTGAGGCAGGAGAATGGTATGAACCTGGGAGGCGGAGCTTGCAGTGAGCTGAGATCTCACCACTGCACTCCAGCCTGGGCGACAGAGCGAGACTCTGTCTCAAAAAAATATATATATATATATTATATGTAGCCCCCAAAATATGTGTATCAATAAAAACATTTAAAAAAAGTAAAAGAAATAAAAAAATTACGTTCCTTGAGATTTTCTTTCTTACTCATTGATTTTGTAGAAGCCTATTATTTTATGTCCAAATGTGTGAAGGTTTTGAGTTACCTTGTGGTCATAAAACATACTTTGTATGATTTCAATTCTTTGAAATTTGTTTGATTTGTTTTGTGATGCAGATATGGCCTTTCTTGATGAATATTTCATGTTCACTTGAAAACAGTTTGTGTTATCTTTTTGTTGAGTAGATTGTCCTATAACCGTCAATTAAATCCAGTTTATTGATTTAGTTTAGTTCTTCCATATCCTTGCTGCTTTTTGCCTGTTTCTTATACTGAAGGTGAAATGTTAAAAATCTCAAATGTCACTGTGCATGTGTTTGTTTCTCTCTTAAATTCTATCATTTTTTTCTTTTGATGCATTTTAGGTTTCTATTATACTGTGGTTGTGTGTATATAAACTTTAAACTGTATTTCTTTTAGGGAAATTTACTGTTTATGATAGTGTAATTTACTTATGTATCTTTAGTAATTTTCCTTACTTTGATGTCTAATTTGTCTCATATTAATATAGCCACTCTTACCTTAGTTTAATTTGCTTTCTGCATAATATTTTTAATAGTTTGACTTTTGTCCTACCTTATCAGATTATTTGAAGGTAATTTCTTATGGGTAGCAAGTAGTTGGATTATAACATCATAATCATTGTGACCAGATGACTTACATTTAATAAATATATACTGATACATGTTCATTTAGGTCCATCATTTTTATATTCATTTTTTAAAACTTTTGCTTTTCATTTATATGGGTTTTTTCTCTCCCTTTTTTGAATTGTTTTAACTTTTTTGTTTTAAAATTCCATTCCACTTTTTCTACTGTGTTTTTTTGCTATTTATCCTTGTATTTTGTTAGTGTTTTGTCTACTGGTTACAATACACATACATACCTTTTCACAACCTACTTAGAATCAATATTTTACAATTTAAAGTACAATGTAGAAATCTTGCCATCATATGGGTCCCATTACCCTATATATCACATACTTTTTAGCTGTCTCATATATATTAAATGTACATACACTGACAATCATATCAATGTTATTTTCTTCTTAGTTTTGCTTTCAATCACCAAACATACTTTGGAGAATCAAATAGAATAATAATGTATTATATTTCCCAAGAGCTACTATTTTCATTACTCTTTCCTTATGCTTGCTGTCTTAATTTTCTATTCTTATTATTTTTTCTGACTGACAACAGTCTTCAGAAATTCTTACAATAATCTGCTGTCATTATTGCCAAATATGAGGAGACTTTCATTTATTATTTTTTTAAAAAAATAATTTCATTTCTCCCTTTCCCCTCCCCTTCTGAAACCCCAATTACATAAAAGTCAAATCTTTTGCTATTGTCACAAAGATTTTTTATATTATTATTATACTTTAAGTTCTAGGGTACATGTGCACAATGTGCAGGTTTGATACATAGGTATACATGTGCCATGTTGGTTTGCTGCACCTATCAACTCATCATTTACATTAGGTATTTCTCCTAGTGCTCTCCCTCCACCAACCCCCCACCCCGCGACAGGCCCTGGTGTGTGATGTTCCCCACCGTGTGTCCAAGTGTTCTCATTGTTCAATTCCCACCTATGAGTGAGAACATGCGGTGTTTAATTTCCTGTCCTTATGTTACACACAGATTCTTAGAGCTGGTTTTATCTTTGAAATTCTTTTTCTCTGACGTGTCCATTAATCTATCAACTACATTCAGTGCGTTTTCATTATAATACTGCATTTTTCTATTCTTAAAAATTTCAGTCGGTTCCTCTTAACAGCTTCTTTTAAAAGCATTTTTGTTTTTGTGGATACATTCTAATTAGTATTGTTTCACTCATTGGAGCACTTTTGTAATTGTTGTTCTGAAGTCTTTGATTGATAATTCCAACATTTTTGCCATTTCATTGGGGATTGACACTTGATGATATTTATACAAGTTGAGAATCATTTTCTATAATTCTTTCTATGCTGAGCACCTTTAAATTTTATCCTGTATATTTTGGATATTACATTATAAAACTATGGGTCTTGTTTAGTATTAGTATTTTTTATTTGGTAAGCAACAAAATGACTTAGTTTCAGCAATAATTTTTAACCCGGTATCTGCAGGTTATGATTCCAACATTGAGCTCAGTTTTCAAAGACTTTTCTGTGCAATTCAGATCTTTTCCATGGGTGCATCACCCAGTGTTCCATCTGGGACATTGTAGGATGTCTACCATTTAGCTCAGTTCTCAGTCTTTGGCATGCTAACTACATGTGCAAACTCCTGCATGAGCTGTTCAGGGATGAGCCCAGTAGCTCATAAACGACTTCACAGGGTTGCAATCACAAGCTCCTCCATCTCTCTGATGTCCAAGTACTCTCTGACTTCCCGTGGCTCCCCTTTCTGCTCTTTCAGCCCCAAAACTGAGGTTTCAGTTATCCTGCTCTGCCACACTCCCTGCAACCACACTCAACATAGCTCCACACAGTGGAAAAACAGAGGCAAGGTAAGCAGCAGAGGTCACCCCCATTCTCCTGAACCCCACATCCTCTGACTGGAGACTTTCCCATGCCATGCACACCACGGCAGGGTTCCTTGCCAAAAGGCCACTTCCCTACTCCCCATACCCATGAGGCTCCTCCTGTGTCTCTCCAAGGATGCTTACTTCCGGATTTCAAGATGCTTTGACTCCAGGCTAGAAAACCAGGAAGAAAAGCAGAGCATTAAACCTATACCCAGCTTGGCAGTATTTTGCATCCTGTTATTCTTCAATCCACCTGCTGCTATTACAGATTCCTCACATAACTGTTTCAGGAATTCCTTCCAAGTTTATATGTAAATTCGGTGGAAAAGTCTGGGTGAAGTGGACCTATTCCTTTTTCCCAGAAGCAGAATTCTAAATATCACTTTGGAGAAGTATTTTCTAAATTGTGAATGCTAAGTATGTATGTCCTGTGTCAAACACAAATCTAGCAAGTTAGAGTGACCGCAACTAACCTGTAAAAATTTTCCTATAGCTACAAAGTCAAAAGCATTATTCCGCAGCATTTTGCTCACATTGGCATACTGTGGGACATTCTAAGTCAAGGCTTATTTCTGTCACTAGAAATGAGAAAGGTAAATGGTCTACTTAGTTCAAATTCTCATAAAAATAACGCCATTAACAGAGATGTTTAAATCATATTCTTAGTTTTACTTAGTGACACTTTTTAAATTTTCTACATTATTTGTTCATACTTGTATATCTTATTATCTCTTCATATGAAATCATACATGATAAATACTTTAGAGATCTTGGTTCCATGAAAATATTTCCATTTTCTACAGTATCTGCTTTCTTCCTTTAGTTAGAAAATAGAAACTGCATAAATATTGTCACTTTTTTCTGGACTTCCAGGAAATATATTGCTGAAGTTAGAACTAACTTAAAACACATAATAACCTAATATTACCCATGATTTTAGTATTTACACCCTCCACTTATATAATGTAAATTGATATAATTAAATTTACATTGTTATATGCAAATGTATGTAAATTTAATTTTTCCTAAGTCTTTTTAAAAGTTCTACTAAATATACACAGTAAGATATAGATAAAAATAAAGCTGCTAGGAAATTTCCATTTTTCCAATTTTTACACACAACTGTACAATGAACCAAAAAAGATCCATTCAAATGCAGACATTGCATTATATTTACTTATACTTTCTTTTCTCATGAAAATTTCAATTCAACATTTTTATCTATATTTTTCATTTAGTTTCAAATTTTGTATATATTAACATCTAAACCCATTACACTTTCTTTTTTCTTTTTTTTTTTTTTTTGAGAGAGTCTCACTCTGTCACCAAGCCTGGAGGGCAGTGGCGCGATCTCAGCTCACTGCAAGCTCTGCCTCCCGGGTTCACGCGCCATCCTTCTGCCTCAGCCTCCCTAGTAGCTGGAACTAGAGGTGCCCGTCGCCACACCTGGCTAATTTTTTTGTATTTTTAGTAGAGACGGGGTTTCACCATGTTAGCCAGGGTGGTCTCGATCTCCTCTCCTTGTGATCCGCTTGCCTCAGCCTCCCAAAGTGCTGGGATTACAGGCGTGAGCCACCGCGCCCAGCCTATACTTTCTTTTCTTGAGACAGGTTCTCACTCTGTTACTCAGGCTGAAGTGCAGTGGTGCAATTATGGCTCACTATAAAACCTTGAATTTCTGGTCTTGGGTGCTCCTCCTGCCTCCCTGAGTAGCTGGGAGTACAGGCCCAAGGCAGCATGCTTGCCTTTTTATTTTTTGTAGCGACCAGAGTATCACTATGTTCCCCAAGCTGGTCTCAAACTCCTGGCTCCAAGCAATCCTCCCACCTCCGCTTCTCAAAGAGCTGAGATTACAGATGTGAGCCACTGCACCCAACCTTCATTATACTTTTTATCACACTGCTTGTTTATCTAAAAGCTGAAATACAGAGCTCTCACAATTCATATAGTCGTGTAGTCTCCTAGAGAATACGCATACAATTTTGGAAAAGCATAGAAAAAATCCAAAGATCTCCTAATTAGTCCCCTAGAGAATCATTAGAATAAACAAAAGTATAGAAATTTAATCTCACAGGTACCATTTAACAGAATCCTAATAAAGTGTTACATATTTTTCAATACTATTTTAAAGTGAACACAGATGAGTTATTTGCATTATAATCAGGGGATCAGCACGAGCAGGGTGTTTAAATAAATATTATATCAAAATGAATTGCATTCTCACAGGTTGGCTACCCCAACTCTGTTCTGATTATGTTTACTTTTCCTCTCTGGGTCTTATTTGCTAAATTTCTGCCCGGTACAACGATGCATTTCCACTTTTATTTTTAAGAGCAAAGTCCAGTTTAAGCAACCTGCAGTGGAAATTTGATAATCAATTATTTACATTTTTAACCTGTTCTCCAGCGAAGTCTCTGATGGCAAGCAAAAGCAGTCAATCTCTAAAATGCCAGCTTCTATTCCTATCATTTCCTTAAATATAGAGACCATTTATGAGAACTAGGGAGGGAATTGGGAATGTAGGTGTGTGTGCTGTGTGTGAGGTTGGTGGGAGGGACTGGGGTTGCTGAAATGGTGTAGACAGTTGGTCCACTCCATAGACTTCCTTTATCAGTGGAGATGCTGCTGTCTAAATTGATCAGCGGTTTCCATGACAGCAAATCTAGATAATTTGTCTTCCACAGCCCTTGCTGTGGATTTAAGGATTTAAGGATTTAAGGATCAAATTATTTTAAAAATTACCTAGTTTTCTATTCCAAAGTTATCACCTCACATACTAGTTGTTAGAAAGTAGAGACAGTTTCTTTATGAAAAAATATTGAAACTGCTTTCCCACAGAAATATTAGCATGTCAAATTTTATGCATACCTACTCCTCAGAGATTTTTTTTTCAAACCACACCTGCACAGAATTGAATTTTAAAGTGAGTGTTTTGTTGCTGAAGCTTTTTACAAAGGTAGACAATGTTTATTATTTGTAAAGAGAATAAAGCAGGCAAACTATACAGAAATATTGAAATGGAAGACATTTCTAAAAATTTTGGCATTTCCTTATACATTCCCATGGCTACTTTATGAATCATTATCCCTGTGAATTAGATCAAACCAGCCTGCTTCCAGCTCATCTAAACTCCTATAAGCTGTAGTTCATTATGCTATTCAGAAATACAATCACATAGTTAATTAGAATGTTAGGTGGACACATGAGCCTGACAATTCTAAATATTATTATTATTTCTAGGTATTTTATGTCATCTAATGCATTTAGGACATATAGGACATGTATTCTGCAAAATAATTGATGAGGAGACAATCTAAGACAACATACTGTACCTGGTAAACTCCTCTTACCAGGAGTTCTTCTATATAGTATGAGTCAAAGTTTCATTAAAACAACAATCTGCATGTTTCAGAACAAGTCTGGAAAACCGTGGGAAGAACAATCTGGCTACCGTGTGGTCATATAACCTGCAGGAAATAGACTATTCATATGCACATGTTTGTTCTTAGATCTCAGACCTTTGGCAAAAAACACAGGAGCATTTGAATGTAGTTTTCTGTGTGTCACTCAGATTTTCTTCAATATCTGATATCTGGTGTCATGCAGGAGTCCTAGAGCAAGAAAATTGCAAGAAGAAGCCCAAAAGAGCATGTGAAATCACAAACAACACAAATATAGATTAAAAAAACAACAAAACAATAAAATAAAAAAATCTAAAAGATTACCAAAAGGAAGAAAAACGAAAAAAGTACAGATGGAAGATATAATTAATAATAGAAATATGGTGGATTTAAATTTAACCATTGACTATTATACAGATGTAATGGGAATAAATACCTCAGCTAAAAGAGATCGTTACTTGGATAATAAAGACAGACTCACCTGCATGGTCCTCAACGGAAATGCACTACTCCAACAACATACAAATAGGTTAAACAAACCAGATGAAAAAGATGCAAAACACTAACATCCCTTATAAGAGAAAGCCAAAATGGCTATCTAAATATTTGACAAAATTGTTTTCAGAGCAAATGCATTTTTCAGAGGTATAGAATCTCATTTCATAATGATAAACATGTCAGTTCATTTATAGAAAATAATATTCCTAAACATTTACAAACCTAGTAACAGACTTTCAAAATCCATGAAGCAGAAACCAGTGCAACTACAAGAAGAAATAGATAAGTTCAAACTTATCATCAAAGATTTCCATACCTTCTCTCAACTACTGATAGAACATTTAGTCAGAAAATCAGTAAAAATATAGATGGCTAAAATAACTCTGTCAACTAACTTGATCTAATGTCATAAGGCATCCCACTTAACAATATCAAAATATAAACATCCTTTTCATGTTCACGTGAGACATTTATGAAGCTAGATTATTTCCTGAGCTATTAAAAAAATCTCAATTTATTTAAAAGGATCCAATTTATACAAAATATATTCTCTGAGCACATTTGATTAAATTTGAATTCAATACCAGAATGTTATCGCGTTTTCCTCAAAGTTTAGAAAATAAATAACACACTGATAAATGACCCTATGGGTTAACAACAACAACAACAACAACAACAACAAATCAAAGGGACTATTAGAAAGTATTCTGAATTGAATAACAGTGAAAACACAATGTATCACCATTTGTGGCACGCTGCTAAGGCAGTATTTAGAGGGATACATATAACAGCAAATGGTTACTTTAGAATATAAGAAACGTAGCAAAGCTCATGCTCCATCTGAAGAAGCTAGAAAAAAAAAACTCGAGGTAAACCAGAAGCAAGTGAAATAAAGAAAATATAATAATAAAAGTTACAGCAGAAATCAATAAGATTGAAAACAGGAAAGCAAAAGAGAAAATCGATGAAAAACATTGACTCATTGAAGTGATCATGGTAATGAAAAAAACTTGTAGCAAGACTGATATGAATAAAGGAAGAAAAACACACATTGCCAATATCAGGAAGTGAAGAAATGATGTCAATGCCTATTATATAAATAAAGAAAAAATAAGTGATATTAAGAACTTTTTTCAATGTAATAACTTGAATGAAATGAACAACTAAAAAATACTACTGAAATTTGCTTAAGAAATAGAAAAAATGATTAACCCATATCTATTAAATACATTGATTTGAATGTGTACTTTTAAACCTTCCTACGAAGAAAACTACATGCACACATGACATCAATGTAAATTTTGTCAATACTTCAGGAAGAAATAATACCAATCTACACAAATACTTCCAGAAAATTAAAGAAGTAGGAATACTTCTCCATACATTCTATAAGGTTAGCATTACCCTAATGCCAAAACAGCCAAAGAAAAAGTACAAGGAAGGTAACAAACAAAATAAAATTGGAAATCAAAATACCTCATGGACAAAAGTGCAATAATTATAAACTAAACTTGAGGAAATCAAGTTTATAAATAGCAAATAACAATTTTATAAATCACAAAATAATAAATAAAAGAATAAAACATAATTACCAAGTGAGATTTATTCCTAGAATGCATAGTCGGTTTCCCATTCTTAAATCATTAAATAAAATCTATTACATTCACAAACTAAAAGAGAAAAAAATATCCATAATGCTCTATTTAGACACAGAACAAATAAAGTAATAAAATCCAATATCTGTTCCAGATAAACTCTCAGCACTGGGAATAGTTGGGAACTTCTTCAACTTGATAGTCGGCACTTATTAAAATCTTATAGCTAACCAGATATTTAATGTTCTAAAGCTGAATGTTTTCCCCAAGATCAGGAACAAACCAAGAATATTCTGTATCGCCACTTCTATTCAAAACATTGTACTGGAGGTTGTATGTAGTAAGAACAATAAAGCAAGAAAAAGAAAAGGAATACAGATTGAAAGGGAAAAAAGTAAAAATCTCTTTCTTGAAGATAACCCTAATTATCTGTTTAAAATCAAATGGTCCATGATTGGTAGAACTAGGACTCTCATCCAGGTCTATTGGACTATGCAGGCCATTCAGACATACAACAGCTATACAGCGTCATTAAAAGAGTACACTTCACTAAGATTTGATAATTAAAATATGTAAGTGTAATGACGTGATCCACATAAGTATAAAAGGCAAAATAGTTGTTAAAGAAGACCTAACGAAGGATTAAATGTATGAACTATTTAGCTAAATAAAGGTTGGCATTCATTGCCCAGTTTAAATGTAGAGCAATTTGTAATAAAATGACTTTGCTTTGACTTAATTTTTAAACAGCCTTTAAAAAAATTAAGGCATAGTTAGCTTCAACATATAAAGGGCTTGGAAGTAATCACTCTATTATAAGAAGAAAAAACACTGAACGAACTGAAAACTGATAGGTTTTCTTGGACTCATGAGAGAAATGAGATTAGAGCAGACAGTGTATTAGTCCATTTTTACACTGCTATAAAGAATTGCCTGAGACTGGGTAATTTAGAAAGGAAAGGTGTTTGATTTACAGTTTCACATGGCGGGGTGGCGGGGGGGTCTCAGGAAACTTACAATCATGGTGGAAGGTGAAGGGGAAGCAAGGTGCCTTCTTCACAAAGCGGCAGGAGGGAGAATGAATGCAGGAGGAACTACCAATCACATAAAACCATCAGACCTTGTGAGAACTCACTATCACAAGAACAGCTAGGGGAAACCACCCACATGATTCAATTACTTCCACCTGGTCTCTCCTTGACACATGAGGATTACAGGGATGATGGAGGTTATATTTCAAGAAGAGATTTTGGGAGGGGACATGGCCCTACCATATAAAACAGTAACCCTGAAATCTGGACAGATGTGAATACAGAGAATCCCAGCCGAGAGTAGCCGATCAGATGCAGGAGTTGCTGAAGCCATAAACTGGTGGGAACATCGCCTTGGTAATTGTGAACTTTCTGGAGGCTGAGTGTGGACTACCTTGAGAGTGGAGGCTCTTGTCTTAGAAGACCATGCACATTTTCATGGGCTTTATTTCCAGGAACCCCACCAAGTTCTCCTGGTAAAAGCATAAGAAGAATCCTCTCCTGTTTCTGGCAAGAGGAGAAAAGTCAACTTTCTGAAATGCTCCTAGAGCATTATCTGTAATGAAGGCACACTCTCTAAAGAAAAGGCATTTCCAGATACTTACAAACTTAGGGAAGTGCAGTTATCCAACTCCAGCCTTTCTGTCTCAGCAAAGCAGATGTTGGAGAGGTTAAGAAAACTTCTCAAGTTCACAGCCCAGGGACATGGGCAGCTAACAGACAGATTTAACTGTAAGGTAGCGTCATGCTTCAACCACACCTACTTCTGCCCCTCCACGCACACATACCATAATACCAAGTCAACAAGTCACCAATAAAATCAAGTGTATCATGGACACTATTTAAGAAATAATTCTTAGAGAAACTTGAGGCCAGAGTGGTGACAAAAACAAGGAAAGTAGAGGAAACTGATACCTTAGCACCTATAGCTGTCATGAGCATTAAACACATCTCAGCTTCTAGCAGATTACCCTAAAAGTTCACTCTAAAGTCCTGTTTACCTTAGTTCCTATCACCAGATACATCACATATCTGGATTTCAACAGAAAAACAATCAAACAAACACAAACTGAATGTACGTTAAAAGGCAAGAAAAAACACAGTCTAAAGAGACAAAGCAAGCATCAAAATCAGACTCAGATATAACAGAGATTTGGGAATTGTCTGTGTGTAGTGAAGAAACTGGCCTTGTCCAAAGAGAGCTGACCTTTTTCTCCAGTAGCTGGGAGCTTTCGGAACTTCTAAATCACTGCAAATTCTAAGTGAGGGGATTGTCATTGTTTTTCATGGGAGGCCCCTCAGAGCACACCTGATAGACAATACCAATGTTGAGACTCATGCTGGGTCTGTCAGATCATGTAGTATGAGTTTGACCTTTGGGAGAGGGTGGGTGAAAAGCCAGGTTGGCAATGCTCCATGCCTATGTGTAGTGTCACACAAAGATGGCAGGGAGGGAGAGAGTATGTCCTGAAGACAATGAAAGCTTTGCACTAGGGACCCTCCTAGACTCTACTCTATGCATTCCTTCCTTTGTCTTGTTTAAATTTGTGTCTCTGCCCTGTATTAAACTTTGTCTGTGAATGTAATAGCTTTCAATCAATTCTGTGAGTCTTTCTAATAAACCATTGCAGTGGAAGATGATTTGGGGAAACCTCTAACATTGCAGCTGGTGTTCAAAGTGAGAGTAGTCTCCTGTGGACTCTTCCCTCTCAGTTGGAAGTTGGACCCTCACTCCTTGCAGCTGGGGTTAGAAGTATTGGCTAGTGCTGGCTTTGTGGAAGACTATGCCCTTAACTGAACAGTTTGGCCAACTCTGAGTAATCTCTAGGGAATGTGAAAATCACTATGATAAATATTTTAAGAGCTAATGCAAAAAAATAGACAACATCAAAGAACAGACAGGCAAGACACCTGCATAAGACATGAACTGGAATAGTGTTAACTGGATGTATATATTGTTTAGTTAGAAATTTATCTATCTATCTATCTAACCTATCTATCTATCTATCTATCTATCTATCTATCTATCTATCTATCTATCTATATCATCTATCTATATCATCTATCAAGGGAAACACTAACATAGTTTTATAAGAAAGTATTATTGATATACTGAGAGAGGAGAAATAATTAAATCATATAAAATGTTCAATTACAATGAGAGAAGGCATAAAATGGGGGGAAGATTAAAAGAAAAGAAAAAAGAACAGTTGCAATAAATTGAATACAATTACAAAATGGTAGCTGTTACTCCAACTACTGTATATCAATAACCATTTTAAGTAGAAATGGTCTAAATATACCAATTAAAAACAGAGATGATCAGAGTAGCTATAAATACTTGATCCAGCTCTATATTATCTGTGCGAAATCAATTTTAAATATAAAGACACAGGTAGATTAAAGGGAAAGAGTGGAAAATATATATGTTATGCCAAATCTAATCATAAGAATACTGGAGTGACCATACTAAGTTGAGATAAAATAGATTGTATAACAACAAAAATTACAGGAATAAAGAACTTTAAATAATGACAAAAAGGTCAATTCTCCAATAAGATATTTCAATCCTTAGTTTATACACACCTAAAAAAAGACAGTCAAAGTGTGTGAGACAAAAATCATAGCTGCTAGAGGAAATGAGTGAATTCATTTTTATATTTGAAGACTTCAACACTGTTTTTCAGTAATTGATACCTGCAGCGGGCAGAAAATCCATAAGGTTTTAGTTGAACTGACAACATTCTTAATCAACTTGACGTACTTGACATATAAAACATTTCAGTCAAGAAGAGCAGAATGCACTTTCTGCTCAAGCTCACATGGAACATTTACCAGCAGCACTAACACTGGGCCATAAAACACACCCTAACAAATTTATAGGAATAGAAATCATACAAAATAATAATTTTTTGTAATTAGCCTGGAAATCACCAACAAAAAGATAACTGGAAAATCCCAAATACTAAATGGTTAAACAAAATGACTTCTAAATAACACATATGTCAAAGAAAAAGTCTCTAGAATTGAAAGAAAAAGTCTCTAGAATTGTTTAATTGAACCACAATAAAAATAAAATAACACAAAAATTTGTTGTATGCAGTGAAAGTCGTGATTACAGTAAAATTTATAGCACTGAATATATATATTAGAAAAGAAAAATATCAAATAATTAATACTCTTTTTTTTTTTTTTTTTTTTTTTTGAGACGGAGTCTCGCTCTGTCACCCAGGCTGGAGTGCAGTGGCGCGATCTCGGCTCACTGCAAGCTCCGCCTCTCGGGTTCACGCCATTCTCCTGCCTCAGCCTCCTGAGTAGCTCAGACTACAGGCGCCCGCCACTACGCCCGGCTAATTTTTTTCTATTTTTTAGAAGAGACGGGGTTTCACCGTGTTAGCCAGGATGGTCTCGATCTGCTGACCTCGTGATCCTGCTCGCCTCAGCCTCCCAAAGTGCTGGAATTACAGCGTGAGCCACCACGCCCGGCCATAATTAATGATCTTAGCTTCCATTTTGGGAAGCTAGAGGAAGAAGACCAATTAAAGACTAAAGCAAGTGGAAAAAAAGCAATAATAAAATTTAGAGAAGAAATCAATAGAACTAAGAACGGGAAATGGAGAAAAATCAATGAAACCAAAAACTTGTTCTTTTTAAAAATCAATCAGATAGATAGACCTCCAGTCAAGCAAAACAAGAAAAAAAAAAGATACTGCAGAGAGCACCGAGGGAGGAGCCAAGATGGCCGAATAGGAACAGCTCCGGTCTACAGCTCCCAGCGTGAGCGACGCAGAAGACGGTGATTTCTGCATTTCCATCTGAGGTACCGGGTTCATCTCACTAGGGAGTGCCAGACAGTGGGCGCAGGCCAGTGTGTGTGCGCACCGTGCGCGAGCCGAAGCAGGGCGAGGCATTGCCTCACCTGGGAAGCGCAAGGGGTCAGGGAGTTCCCTTTCCGAGTCAAAGAAAGGGGTGACGGACGCACCTGGAAAATCGGGTCACTCCCACCCGAATATTGCGCTTTTCAGACCGGCTTAAGAAACGGCGCACCACGAGACTATATCCCACACCTGGCTCGGAGGGTCCTACGCCCACGGAATCTCGCTGATTGCTAGCACAGCAGTCTGAGATCAAACTGCAAGGCGGCAACGAGGCTGGGGGAGGGGCGCCCGCCATTGGCCAGGCTTGCTTAGGTAAACAAAGCAGCCGGGAAGCTCGAACTGGGTGGAGCCCACCACAGCTCAAGGAGGCCTGCCTGCCTCTGTAGGCTCCACCTCTGGGGGCAGGGCACAGACAAACAAAAAGACAGCAGTAACCTCTGCAGACTTAAGTGTCCCTGTCTGACAGCTTTGAAGAGAGCAGTGGTTCTCCCAGCACGCAGCTGGAGATCTGAGAACGGGCAGACTGCCTTCTCAAGTGGGTCCCTGACTCCTGACCCCCGAGCAGCCTAACTGGGAGGCACCCCCCAGCAGGGGCACACTGACACCTCACACGGCAGGGTATTCCAACAGACCTGCAGCTGAGGGTCCTGTCTGTTAGAAGGAAAACTAACAACCAGAAAGGACATCTACACCGAAAACCCATCTGTACATCACCATCATCAAAGACCAAAAGTAGATAAAACCACAAAGATAGGGAAAAAACAGAACAGAAAAACTGGAAACTCTAAAACGCAGAGCGCCTCTCCTCCTCCAAAGGAACGCAGTTCCTCACCAGCAACAGAACAAAGCTGGATGGAGAATGATTTTGACGAGCTGAGAGAAGAAGGCTTCAGACGATCAAATTACTCTGAGCTACGGGAGGACATTCAAACCAAAGGCAAAGAAGTTGAAAACTTTGAAAAAAATTTAGAAGAATGTATAACTAGAATAACCAATACAGAGAAGTGCTTAAAGGAGCTGATGGAGCTGAAAACCAAGGCTCGAGAACTACGTGAAGAATGCAGAAGCCTCAGGAGCCGATGCGATCAACTGGAAGAAAGGGTATCAGCAATGGAAGATGAAATGAATGAAATGAAGCGAGAAGGGAAGTTTAGAGAAAAAAGAATAAAAAGAAATGAGCAAAGCCTCCAAGAAATATGGGACTATGTGAAAAGACCAAATCTACGTCTGATTGGTGTACCTGAAAGTGATGTGGAGAATGGAACCAAGTTGGAAAACACTCTGCAGGATATTATCCAGGAGAACTTCCCCAATCTAGCAAGGCAGGCCAACGTTCAGATTCAGGAAATACAGAGAACGCCACAAAGATACTCCTCGAGAAGAGCAACTCCAAGACACATAATTGTCAGATTCACCAAAGTTGAAATGAAGGAAAAAATGTTAAGGGCAGCCAGAGAGAAAGGTCGGGTTACCCTCAAAGGGAAGCCCATCAGACTAACAGCGGATCTCTCGGCAGAAACCCTACAAGCCAGAAGAGAGTGGGGGCCAATATTCAACATTCTTAAAGAAAAGAATTTTCAACCCAGAATTTCATATCCAGCCAAACTAAGCTTCATAAGTGAAGGAGAAATAAAATACTTTATAGACAAGCAAATGTTGAGAGATTTTGTCACCACCAGGCCTGCCCTAAAAGAGCTCCTGAAGGAAGCGCTAAACATGGAAAGGAACAACCGGTACCAGCCGCTGCAAAATCATGCCAAAATGTAAAGACCATCGAGACTAGGAAGAAACTGCATCAACTAATGAGCAAAATCACCAGCTAACATCATAATGACAGGATCAAATTCACACATAACAATATTAACTTTAAATATAAATGGACTAAATTCTGCAATTAAAAGACACAGACTGGCAAGTTGGATAAAGAGTCAAGACCCATCAGTGTGCTGTATTCAGGAAACCCATCTCACGTGCAGAGACACACATAGGCTCAAAATAAAAGGATGGAGGAAGATCTACCAAGCCAATGGAAAACAAAAAAAGGCAGGGGTTGCAATCCTAGTCTCTGATAAAACAGACTTTAAACCAACAAAGATCAAAAGAGACAAAGAAGGCCATTACATAATGGTAAAGGGATCAATTCAACAAGAGGAGCTAACTATCCTAAATATTTATGCACCCAATACAGGAGCACCCAGATTCATAAAGCAAGTCCTCAGTGACCTACAAAGAGACTTAGACTCCCACACATTAATAATGGGAGACTTTAACACCCCACTGTCAACATTAGACAGATCAACGAGACAGAAAGTCAACAAGGATACCCAGGAATTGAACTCAGCTCTGCACCAAGCAGACCTAATAGACATCTACAGAACTCTCCACCCCAAATCAACAGAATATACATTTTTTTCAGCACCACACCACACCTATTCCAAAATTGACCACATAGTTGGAAGTAAAGCTCTCCTCAGCAAATGTAAAAGAACAGAAATTATAACAAACTATCTCTCAGACCACAGTGCAATCAAACTAGAACTCAGGATTAAGAATCTCACTCAAAGCCGCTCAACTACATGGAAACTGAACAACCTGCTCCTGAATGACTACTGGGTACATAACGAAATGAAGGCAGAAATAAAGATGTTCTTTGAAACCAACGAGAACAAAGACACAACATACCAGAATCTCTGGGACGCATTCAAAGCAGTGTGTAGAGGGAAATTTATAGCACTAAATGCCTACAAGAGAAAGCAGGAAAGATCCAAAATTGACACCCTAACATCACAATTAAAAGAACTAGAAAAGCAAGAGCAAACACATTCAAAAGCTAGCAGAAGGCAAGAAATAACTAAAATCAGAGCAGAACTGAAGGAAATAGAGACACAAAAAACCCTTCAAAAAATCAATGAATCCAGGAGCTGGTTTTTTGAAAGGATCAACAAAATTGATAGACCGCTAGCAAGACTAATAAAGAAAAAAAGAGAGAAGAATCAAATAGACACAATAAAAAATGATAAAGGGGATATCACCACCGATCCCACAGAAATACAAACTACCATCAGAGAATACTACAAACACCTCTACGCAAATAAACTAGAAAATCTAGAAGAAATGGATACATTCCTCGACACATACACTCTCCCAAGACTAAACCAGGAAGAAGTTGAATCTCTGAATCGACCAATAACAGGCTCTGAAATTGTGGCAATAATCAATAGTTTACCAACCAAAAAGAGTCCAGGACCAGATGGATTCACAGCCGAATTCTACCAGAGGTACAAGGAGGAACTGGTACCATTCCTTCTGAAACTATTCCAATCAATAGAAAAAGAGGGAATCCTCCCTAACTCATTTTATGAGGCCAGCATCATTCTGATACCAAAGCCGGGCAGAGACACAACCAAAAAAGAGAATTTTAGACCAATATCCTTGATGAACATTGATGCAAAAATCCTCAATAAAATACTGGCAAACCGAATCCAGCAGCACATCAAAAAGCTTATCCACCATGATCAAGTGGGCTTCATCCCTGGGATGCAAGGCTGGTTCAATATACGCAAATCAATAAATGTAATCCAGCATATAAACAGAGCCAAAGACAAAAACCACATGATTATCTCAATAGATGCAGAAAAAGCCTTTGACAAAATTCAACAACCCTTCATGCTAAAAACTCTCAATAAATTAGGTATTGATGGGACGTATTTCAAAATAATAAGAGCTATCTATGACAAACCCACAGCCAATATCATACTGAATGGGCAAAAACTGGAAGCATTCCCTTTGAAAACCGGCACAAGACAGGGATGCCCTCTCTCACCGCTCCTATTCAACATAGTGTTGGAAGTTCTGGCCAGGGCAATCAGGCAGGAGAAGGAAATAAAGGGTATTCAATTAGGAAAAGAGGAAGTCAAATTGTCCCTGTTTGCAGACGACATGATTGTTTATCTAGAAAACCCCATCGTCTCAGCCCAAAATCTCCTTAAGCTGATAAGCAACTTCAGCAAAGTCTCAGGATACAAAATCAATGTACAAAAATCACAAGCATTCTTATACACCAACAACAGACAAACAGAGAGCCAAATCATGGGTGAACTCCCATTCACAATTGCTTCAAAGAGAATAAAATACCTAGGAATCCAACTTACAAGGGATGTGAAGGACCTCTTCAAGGAGAACTACAAACCAC
Organism: Homo sapiens; assembly: GCF_000001405.40. Lineage (NCBI taxonomy): Eukaryota > Metazoa > Chordata > Mammalia > Primates > Hominidae > Homo > Homo sapiens. The sequence continues at coordinate 4,738,077 of NC_000002.12, forward strand.
TGCTCAAGGAAATAAAAGAGGAGACAAACAAATGGAAGAACATTCCATGCTCATGGGTAGGAAGAATCAATATCGTGAAAATGGCCATACTGCCCAAGGTAATTTACAGATTCAATGCCATCCCCATCAAGCTACCAATGACTTTCTTCACAGAATTGGAAAAAACTACTTTAAAGTTCATATGGAACCAAAAAAGAGCCCGCATTGCCAAGTCAATCCTAAGCCAAAAGAACAAAGCTGGAGGCATCACACTACCTGACTTCAAACTATACTACAAGGCTACAGTAACCAAAACAGCATGGTACTGGTACCAAAACAGAGATATAGATCAATGGAACAGAACAGAGCCCTCAGAAATAATGCCGCATATCTACAACTATCTGATCTTTGACAAACCTGAGAAAAACAAGCAATGGGGAAAGGATTCCCTATTTAATAAATGGTGCTGGGAAAACTGGCTAGCCATATGTAGAAAGCTGAAACTGGATCCCTTCCTTACACCTTATACAAAAATCAATTCAAGATGGATTAAAGATTTAAACGTTAAACCTAAAACCATAAAAACCCTAGAAGAAAACCTAGGCATTACCATTCAGGACATAGGCGTGGGCAAGGACTTCATGTCCAAAACACCAAAAGCAATGGCAACAAAAGACAAAATTGACAAATGGGATCTAATTAAACTAAAGAGCTTCTGCACAGCAAAAGAAACTACCATCAGAGTGAACAGGCAACCTACAACATGGGAGAAAATTTTTGCAACCTACTCATCTGACAAAGGGCTAATATCCAGAATCTACAATGAACTCAAACAAATTTACAAGAAAAAAACAAACAACCCCATCAAAAAGTGGGCGAAGGACATGAACAGACACTTCTCAAAAGAAGACATTTATGCAGCCAAAAAACACATGAAGAAATGCTCATCATCACTGGCCATCAGAGAAATGCAAATCAAAACCACTATGAGATATCATCTCACACCATTTAGAATGGCAATCATTAAAAAGTCAGGAAACAACAGGTGCTGGAGAGGATGTGGAGAAATAGGAACACTTTTACACTGTTGGTGGGAATGTAAACTAGTTCAACCATTGTGGAAGTCAGTGTGGCGATTCCTCAGGGATCTAGAACTAGAAATACCATTTGACCCAGCCATCCCATTACTGGGTATATACCCAAATGAGTATAAATCATGCTGCTATAAAGACACATGCACACGTATGTTTATTGCGGCACTATTCACAATAGCAAAGACTTGGAACCAACCCAAATGTCCAACAATGATAGACTGGATTAAGAAAATGTGGCACATATACACCATGGAATACTATGCAGCCATAAAAAATGATGAGTTCATATCCTTTGTAGGGACATGGATGAAATTGGAAACCATCATTCTCAGTAAACTATCGCAAGAACAAAAAACCAAACACCGCATATTCTCACTCATAGGTGGGAATTGAACAATGAGATCACATGGACACAGGAAGGGGAATATCACACTCTGGGGACTGTGGTGGGGTCGGGGGAGGGGGGAGGGATAGCATTGGGAGATATACCTAATGCTAGATGACACATTAGTGGGTGCAGCGCACCAGCATGGCACATGTATACATATGTAACTAACCTGCACAATGTGCACATGTACCCTAAAACTTAGAGTATAATAAAAAAAAAAAAAAAAAAAAAAAAAAAAAGATACTGCAAATTGTTAATATCAGAAAAGTAAAAAGGAGCTATCACTAATGATTTCTTGGACGTTAAGAAGATAATAACATAATATTATGACTAACTCTATGAAAACAATTTTGATCACTTCAAGGAAATGGATCTTTACAACAAATGGCGCTAGAATAATTGGGTGCCTGTAAGCATCCTGCCACCCCACAAAACTAGATCCAGACCTTACACCTTTCACAAAAATCAACTGAATCATACACCTGTATGTAAAATATAAAACTATGAAACTTCTTGGATTAAAAAAAAAAGACAATCTTAAATTTGGCAATAACTTTAAGATACAATACCAAGAGCACAACATAATCCATAAAAGAAAATACTGATACATCTGACTTCACTAAAATCTTTTTAAAAAAGAAAACACTTCAGCTCTGTCAAAAAAAGTGTTGTGAAAAAAATAAAAATAAGTCACAGACTGGGAAAGAATATTTGCAAAAACTATGTGTGACAAATGATTTATACCCAAAATACAGCTGACCCTTGAACAACTCAGATTTCAGCTATACAGTTTCACTTATATAAAAATTTTTTTCAAAAAGTATTTTGGAAAATTCGTTAGAGATTTGTGACAATTTGAAATAAACTACTAGATGAACAATATAACATAGAAATACTGAAAAAATTAAGACAAATTTAAACATGTAATGAATACATAAAAATATATATAAATACTAGTCTATTTTATCATTTACTACTATAAAATGTACATAAATCAGTTATTCAGAGTTAAAATTTATCAAAATGTACACATATAAACACAGATTGCATATGATACCATTAACCATTGAAAGAAATGTAAACAAATGTAAAGATGCAATATTAAATGTTAACTGCATAAAAGTATAGTACACACTGTATTGCTCTCATCAATTCATAGTCACTTCCTGTTGGTATCACAATGAGTGCGTATTGCATGCATCTGCTTAAAACATCTTGCGAAGCTCATATTCTGCTCATGAGCAATTCTTCTCTCCACTAAATTGCATATGCAAGTAAAAAGTGATCGCTTGCAGTTCTTACATATTTTTCATCATGTTTAATGCAACATCTTAAACCTAAAATAACACCGTGAGACCCATATGAAGTGCCACTGGTGATGCTGAAAGTGCTTTCAGAGAGCAGAGAAAAGTCATGACTTTACAAGAAAAAATTGAATTGCTTGATATGTACCATAGATTGAAGACTGCAGGTGCAGAGACAGAAAGTTACAGTATCAATAAACACTGTACAGTACTGTAAATGTATTGTCTCTTCCTTATGATTTTCTTTATAACATTTTCTTTTCTCTAGCTTACCTTATTGGAAGAATGCAATGTATGACACATATGCAAATATGTTAATTGAAGATTTATTTTCTTGACAAGGCTATTAGTAGTAAAGTTTTGGGGGAGCCAAAAGTTATACATGAATTTTTGACAATGCAGGGAGTTGGCACTCCATCCCAGTTATGTTCAAGGATCAACTGTACTCAAATAACTATTTCAACAGTAAGAAAACAACAATGTAATTAAAAATAGACAAAATATGTCAACATGTACCTCACCAAAATACATACACATGTCAACTAAGCATATAAAAATATGCTCAAAATATTTATCATTAGTGAATCAAAGTTAAAACTAAATCGAGATAGAGCTCCTAAACTATTAGAGTGACTAAAATAAAAAAAAATCCTGATGAGGATGTAGAACAACATGACTTCTTGAATGAGGGTTTACTGGTAGAAATGCAAAATGGTATATCCAATTTGGAAGATTCTTGAGCAATTTCTTACCAAGCTAAACATGGTGTTTACCATTTTATTCAAAATTTTGCTTTTAGGTATTTACCAATTGATTTGAAAACTTATGTTCACAAAAAATCTGAACACAAATGTTTATGGTGCTGTATTCCTGATTGCCCAAAACAAGAAGCAATCAAAGTGTCCTCCATTAAGTTAATGAGCAAGCAAACTTATTACATTCATACAATGGAATATTATTCACTGATAGAAAGAAACTATCAAGGAAAAATCAAAATTGACATATTTATCCTTGAACTTCATATTGTCAATGAAAGAAGCCAGTTTGAAAAGGTTACATAATCTATGGTACCAATTCTATGACATTCTAAAGAAGAAAAGACTATAGACACAGTAAACTCATGAGTGGTAGTCAGATGTTCAAGGTAAGAAGAGAGGGATAATAAATAGGTGGAACATCAGGGATTTTTCAAGAGGGAGAACTATTTTATATGATTGTGTAATTGTGGATACATAATATTATACATTTGTCAAAATATATAGAACTTTATATGGTACAAAGAGTGAACCTTATTGTATACAAATTAGAATAACAATAAAGGTTTGAGACATTCCAGGAAGAAATGCAGATTGTGATAAGAGAATCTAATGCTATTACAAACACATAAAACAATCTCAGTGAAGGAGGTATTGGGGAAAGGTGCTGGCCTACATGACTTTGGAAATGAGTGGAGTTTATAACAGTAATAGCAAAAGGAATGACACGTCAGCACTGTATTCTAGTTGATTGAATTGTTTCCCACAGGGGTACTGGATAACAATTCCCATACTGCTATTACTGTACACTTATTGAACAATTCAGTAAATGGATGGCAGATGGTAAGAGCTAGATTTCTCACTGTTGGAGTGGGAATTTATAGATACACAAAGGGAGGAGACTAGAAAGATACATGTGATAATGGATTAAAGATGGAGACACCAGTAATAACTGGTGTTTAGATTAATATAGTTACAGATGTTTATCTATGGAAATGTGTGTGTGTGTGTGTGTGTGTGTGTGTGTGTGTGTGTGTGTATGTACAGGTTAGTATATATATTTCTTTCTTTGCCCACCCTGACAAACTAAACAAAACAACACTTCATTAGCAATGAGCACACCTAGTACCCAGATCTTGGCTTCTAATACCATTCTCCAATAACAACAACAACAAAAAAAGAGGCGTTTGAAAAAATGCCTGATTCTAAGACTGAGAAAAAAAATATGTAAGATGAGCCTGAAGCATGTAATAGTTCCAGAAATATGGCGTGTTCAAAAAGAACAGCAGCAACCACTTTGATGTAAGTCAGTCAAAGGAGCACGGGAACCCCCTGAAAGTGCTCCCATGAGACAAAACTAGAACCATTTGCGCAAAAAGCGAAGTACTGAATTATAACTCAAAGTACAAAATAAATATCATAATCCATACTGATATCAGTGGGACTTAATAGATAAGTGGGAAAAAGAGATGAGTTTCCCATGGAGAAGAATTACAAATAATTGATATAGTCTGTCGTCCACGAGGGAGAACATAACTCTTCACTTTTCAAGTGCAGAGGACACATGGAGTCTTCCTTCCAAAGTTCAATGTGGAAAATAGAGTGGAGAGGAGAATTAGTAATTTTACAATGAGAAAGCCTGACAGGCACTACATTAGCCAAGTGTTCAAAGTCAACATCAACAGTCATGAATCATACTGGTATTATGTGTCCTTCATGTGATGAAAATGACACTCTCTGTAATCTTCCTACCCAAGCCTCATAACCCCAGTCTAACCACGAGTAAAATAGCAGACAAATCCCAATGGAAAGAAATTCTACGCTGTCTCTGACCTATATTTCTCACAACTGTGAAGGACATGAAAACAAGAAAAAGCGTGAGAAACTATCACAGCCAGAAGGAACATAAGGAGACATCCTGACTAGATGCATTGTATTATGCTTAATGGAACCCTGGAACAGAAAAAGGACATTAGGTGAAGACTGAAGAGATCCAAATAGGCTCTGGACTTTAGTTAATAACAATCTAACAATAGTATTTCATTAATTATAGGAAATGTACCATAATGCAAGATGTTAATAAAGGAGACACTCTGTGTTTGACTACATGAGAACTCTCTGTACTACCCTCTCAGTTTTTCTGTAAATCTAAACTTTTCTAAAAATAAAACCTACTAAGAAACAATCACAAAATAGCCATGCTAAAGGACTTTATATGGCAGCTTATTTCACCACTGTCTCATTTATTCCAACTATGTCTCAGTTTTCTTTACTTTTAAACTTCAATAATTATTTCATAGGGCTGTTGGGAGGATTAAAATCTCACAGTGCAGTTCCTGGCACAAAGTAGAAGGCCAATAATTATTTCTACGCTTCCATGGCTAAAAACATTTTAGAGTTGTGGTGTTAGAATTGCCATCAGAGCCATATAGAAAAAATCAGTTTCATAAATTACGCTAAGATCAAGATTTGAACCAAATGGTACTTGAAAAGCATGATCATATATTAATTTGATTTACATGTTAATTTATTTTTATTATTTTCAAATACTAAATTTGCCACAATTAAAATGAATCAATGTATTTTAAAACAACTGCCTTGGAAACATTGACAGGAATCTAAACCACTACATGAGACGTATTAATAACATATATTTTGGAGTTGGGAAGATCTGAATTCAAATAAAACTATGTTTCTTAGCATCTTGTGCTTTTTGACTAAGTTATTTATCTTCTCTAAGCCTCAGGGATTTTTTAAAATCTTAAAACAAAGATAATTTTTGCAGCATTTTGTGAAAAGTAAATGCAGTAGTGCTCATTAGGCAGTTAGCACGGTCCTTGGCACATGGTAAAGCCATAATATGCTATTATTATTATTCTTATGTTAGCTTACAGATCGTATTTTTCCATTAAATATTTTACAATTACAAAAATATAAAATTATTATATAGTACAAATATGTTAACTAAAGTGAAGGGCTGTGGTATGATTTTTAAAAAAATTTCTAAAGTAGATAATAATTATGAAACTAGAACTGGACACAGGTTTTCTTTCTTTCAGACAGGTGATCTATTAAAAAAATATAATTATTTATGTTTCCAAAATATTGGTAGAACAAATGTAGACAGAACCAACATTATTTCTTTTTTATATCTTCATGTTGCTTTTTATAAAGAGCTCAGAAATTATGTTATCTCAGTAATGATGAAGAAACCACACATATGGTTTCTTCTTTACGTACATTTTGGAATTAGTTTCCTGCAATCTCAACTTTACTATATTCACAAAATAATAAATGAGAGAAAGAGATGTGAATACATCTGGCTCCGCAAAGCCCCTTTTCTGATAAACTCCATGTCCAATGGAACAGAAATATCACCAATCAAGGAGGGGTTTTTGTAAATTTTTAACATTTTAGCAATATTGACTTATAATCACCATTCATCAACACTAACAGATCAGAGTGCATGAATTATATTATATGCCTTTTTCTGTATCTGCATAACTCTGGTTAACTGATTTCACAACCTTTTAAACACAAATCTTAAAACATTTTATAGCAAAACAACTAGGCTTGACGTTACACAATGTAACAGGTCTTTGTAGTAAGTAAATAGGGTGGTAAGTGGTTACATATGGCAGCCCATTCAAAACTGGAACTGCTCATCCCATTTGATGTTATTCACTTTGTTTTATAATGTGTATTCTTGCTAACAGTGTGTGACTGGATCTTTTTTGGTTTCAGTATTTTCGCTTGGGATTAGAGCTTTCATATTTCATAGACAAATCTAAGAAACAACTATATCGCTATCATGAAATCTTTTTCTTCCCCAGGGAAAGTCTCCCACCATTGACTCAGCCATATAATTCACTAAACATCAGTTGTCCAAGCACTGTTGGTTAAAAATTATTTTTACATTGTATGTAAACTTGAAAATTTAAGCCAAAATGAGAGAGAGAGTGAGAGAGAGCAAGAGAGAGAGAAGATAATGTCTTCCAGATGACGGCTTTCTGGATGAAACTTGAAGCCTGAAGCAAGAGAAAATTTTCATTACCATTCAGATTACATGTCATTTTGATTCACACTCCCTAAGCAAGCTAATTTGGTCGGCAGCCAACCTTCTCGCAGTGTGATGACAACACAACAAGCTTCACCGCCTTCCTTTCAGTGCTAATGATTCCTTGAGTGACAGCCATGGTCTCAGAGCTCCGCGTGACACCTCACCCTGCCGCGCCTGCAATGTCAGAGCTGCTGCTGTCCTGGGCTCCTGCTCATGGTCCTGGCAAGGACAGCCTGTGACTTCAGGAACATGCCAGCTGCCGTCACCCCACCCACCTGCATACCTATACACACACAGGGGCCCCTGGTGCTCACCTCTCCACACTGCATGTTCTCAGGACAATATCACTGGGATGAAATAAACTGTGGTAGTAACTGGGTGCCTCTGAGGACCTCTCCCCTCTCCCCTCGGGGCAAGGGAGCTCAGCCATCTTCTCACCATGGACTCACGCAAGCCATGAATTCTTTGTTGTGCTATAAGCGATTATGTTAGGTTCGAATGTCACCCTTTTTAAAATTTATTTTTATTTTTAATTTTCATTTACTCTGTTTTGAAAAATATCTTTTTCAATAGATATATTTTTTCTCAAAAATCAAAATATTGTGTTGACTTGTTTGTTTTCATATTTAAGGTAGGCAAACACCCTTGTCCCAAAGTCCTGCTACCTGATAGTGTTTGGAGTTATGAGAAGAACAATGACCTTTATTTCCATTCTAGAAAGGAGTCTGTCAATGCTTGTTTGGGGTGGGAACATAAACACTAAGATATGATGTGTACGAGGTGGACGTCATGTTCGAATTCCCTATGGTATTCCCAGTGAAAGAACGCCTGCACGTGAGAGTGTTCCACAGCCATTGGATGAGTGAACGAAAGAAGGAAGGTGACTATCTCCTTGTGAATGTGGCTATCTCGTTATGAATGTGGCTGTTTCATTTCTGGCTGGGAGTTACCAGAATCACTTGCAAGTTCAGAAAGCATGCTTGTCGCTTGGTCTGTGACTTCTTCACTGAATCCCTGTTCATCCACTCACCGAGATATGAACCTTGCCTTCAAATAATGGAATATTAAAAGGAGTTTTTACCCAGACACTAGTTCTCTTGCCCTATAACAAGCCCCAGTTTGTGTCTGAATTCATTTATTCACTTCCTGGAAGGCTAAGGGTCCCAACAGCGTGGAAGTCACAGTGCTGGGATACTGGCTACACAGGTGGGCACAGGTGAGCAGGGTAGGCCTCTGGTGTTCTGGGACTTTGCATCTAATCAAAGATATTGAAAAGCTCATTATGGTTTGAAGGTGTTAGGGCAGAGGAATGTCTAATCTGAAGTATGAGAAATTAAGTGTTGGTCAGAGAGGTAGGTGTGGAAGGCTGGGGTGGAGCCGCCTGCCTCCTCCCAGAAGCTGTTCATGGAAGACCTTCACTCCCATGACCTTGCAGAGCATCTGTTTCTCTGCAATCAAATTTGAGATTCTGGGTAGCAAAGAACACGCACAAATACATGATTTACTAATGAAAATAATTCTACTCTTTTTCTATAAGTCAGTGGTATATATCAGTGATCTGGTGTAGGAAATTAGATGGGTATGTATTGATAGAAAGCAAAATCTACTAAGGGGGTATTGTTGGTCCAGTTTCTAAGAAGTTATGACATATTTTATGTAAATATTCTTTTTTACTCCCACCATGGTGATTTAGTAGTTAGTTCTCTATTTTTCTCATTTTTTAGGATGAATATGTAAGAGGGAATTGAGATTGGGGAGGAGAGAATAATACCTTTCCCATTAGAAATGTTTTTCTTTGGCTGGGTGCTGTGGCTCATGCCTGTAATCCCAGCACTTTGGGAGGCCAAGGAGAGTGGATCACTCGAGGTCAGGAGTTCAAGGCCAGCCTGGCCAATATGGTGAATCCCTGTCTTCACTAAAACATACAAAAATTAGCCAGGCGTGGCGGTGCATGCCTGTAGTCCCAGCTACTCGGGAGCCTGAGGCAGGAGAATAACTTGAACTTGGGAGGCAGAGGTTGCAGTGAGCCAAGATCATGCCACTGCACTGCAACCTAGGTGACAGAGCGAGACTCCATCTCAAAAAAAAAAAAGAAAAAAAAATAGAAATGTTTTTCTTTTCTTTTTTTTTAGATGGAGTTTTGCTCTTGTTACCCGGGCTGAAATGGCACGATCTTGGTTCACTGCAATCTCTGCTTCCCAGGTCCAAGCAATGATTCTCCTGCCCCAGCCTCCCAAGTAGCTGGGATTACAGGTGCCCTCCACCATGCCCAGCTAATTTTTGTAATTTTTGTAGACACAGGGTTTCACCGTGTTGGTCAGGCTGGTCTCGAACTCTGACCCCAGGTGATCCACCCGCCTCGGCCTCCCAAAGTGCTGGGATTACAGGCCTGAGCCACCACGCCTGGCCTTTTTTTTTTTTTCTTTTAGCTTATGGGAAAATATGGAAAAATATGGAAAGACTAATTTATTTGGAATCAAAATAATTACAGCCAACCACTGATCCACAATTTATTAGATTGCTTAAATTTTTGTCCTTGCTAAAACTTTATATTCACATCTGTAAAATGGTAACAACAATAATGCCTATTTATAGAGACGCTTTTAGGATTACATAAGCTGATTTGAGCACTCGGTATGTTATTAAACACTAAACATAATTCATTTTTGTCTTCAAATCATGTAATGTTCCTGTCATTACACAGTTAAAGAAAGACGTATTGGAATTAAAATTAAGAGCTGTTTTCCTCAATGTATATTTTATTACAATTTCCCCAAGGTGAAGCTATTTAAAAAATGTCTATAATGTTTTTAAGTCAAATGTTACAATACAGAGGAGAAGATCAGTGGATGCAGAGAAGTCTGAACATTGTGGACATTAGAGCTTTTAATACATTCCCAATCTTGGTGTTTTCCAAATGCATCAATAGTTTACAAGAGTTTGTGAGGGACAAGGATAATTAACTTGCAGGATAAACAAATTTATTTTGGTTCAGGGCCACAACATACAAATGGCTAGCTCACACAATGTGAAAATTTAAGTTCAAGCAATGCTCCACAGGAGCACCTCTGTGGAAGTTTGACTTTAGTACTTTTGAGGGTTTTTCTAAGACTTTTCTCTTGTATCCACTACCCTTCTAAGACGTAGCTTCAAAGGCAATGATGACATTTAACCTTCATATTCAAGGGGATGTTTCCTGTTTTATATGTTTACTTAAACTGATGACTAGGAAGCATTTGTTTGTGCATGTGTAGACGTAGTCTAGATCCAGAAAGAGAAAATTAAGATGGCTGCAGGAAGAAACATGAGACCATAGTAATGAGAATGGTCTTCAAATATAGAGAAGATAAAATGTGTTCTCTAGGATTTCAAAGGGTGAATGTTAGAAAACATTCTTTTAATGTAAAGAATTACTTTAGAAAAAAGGACAGTTTTCCGAAATTGAATTAGATGGTTGCAGTGGTAAGTTACAAGGTGTTACAACTCTTGGAGAGCAGACCAGCTCCCAGCTCTTACAAAGGGCATCCAATTCTGGGTCCATATATCAGGCAGGGCTACGATTTAAAGTGTTCTCAATCTAGTTTAAGGATGCCTTGCTCCCAGCCGCAAAGATTCAGATTCTCCTGCTCCGGGTTAGGGCCTCACTGTGTTTAGTTCTAAACAATGATTAGAATAAGCTTCCCAGGTCATTCTAATGTGCACTCAAGATTGAGCACACCTACGTTAGTTGATTTCTAGAACTGTTTCTCATTGGATGAATCTGGGGTTTTTTGTGGGCACTTGCATGAATCTAGGTTAAAACAATTGAACATAGTTGGGTATCAATCTGGGCTGTCCACACGGCAAAGCAGTCCTAATGCAAAACACTGGCATTGATTGATAGATTTTTAATAGAGGGTGGATTTGTGCTTTGATCATTACTGCTCTATTCAGGAGACAAGTCAAAGCGAAGTCCTCTGGTCTCTGCCTCAAATAGAGACAGAGACTGACAGTTCTGGGCCTCCCAACTTCCCCAGGAAGATGATCTTCATAGAACAGTGCCAGCAACACTGCCCCAGTAACTGTGACAGAGAAAAGGTTATGAGATGCATTCACTTACTCAGTGTACTGAAGGACTGCAGAAGCCAGAATGGATTTCATTAAAACTACCCCATTCCCAGAGCCTGTTAGCAGCAACTAGGAAACATCATTCTCAACACAGTGGGGAAAATCCTGTCATTTTGTGGTGGAAGCAAGATGTGAATTTTGACATCTCCAGTGGCCGTGTGTGTCTGTGTGTGTGTGTTTGTTACAACCTCATTTCTCTGTAACTGTGTTTCCCAGACTTCATGACACCAGGTCTTGGCATAATCCCCACCCTCCCTGAACATTTGTTTCAACTGAGAATTAGGCGTTTTATTTTCTAGATCCTTATTGTCGTTTTTTGGATGTAAATTTGCATTAAGCTATTTCTGTGTAAATAGAATTTTGACATAATAGGAGCACCAGCAAGGACTGGCGTTGCTGCTGGCACATCATTTCAAATCCATCTATCCTACACTGTGGCTTAATTTAAAGGCTGGATTACTTGAAAATGCATTTATTAAGTCTGACCTACTTTTTAAATATTTAATATTCCATTTTGGTTTCCTTGCAACAAGAGAAGCTTCAAGGTCTTCATGTTCTTGCCAATTTTTAAAGCATTGATATTGATTCAGATAATAAGACCCTGCACAGACACAGTGTACGGACTCACCGTCCCTGCACCACTTTCAAGAGTGGTATTTAAAGCAATTAGGAGCTCACAAGATCTTACTGGTACTTGGGTGTCCCCAAGGACCTGCCTGCCTTTGTCCCTTATGAAATTTCTCCTCTTTCCCTTTCTTTATGTACGTGACTGAGCTATCAATAAAAAATAATAGCAAGCAAAAAATCCCTGATCCATAACAGGAAAAGTAATCACTATCTTATCTTTCAAGAATGGAACCTGTTTACAGCTTAGTTAAGGCTTATTCTTTTCATCAAAAAGTATTCTGACTTGAAGAATAATAGACATACAAGCAAGAGATAAATACAAATTGTTGAGAATGGGAGGGAAGTAAGCAGGGAGAATATGAAATATTATATGCAATGAAAATTGTGAAATGTAAGCAATATTTGTACATGTATATTGCTTATGTATATTGCTTACTTCACTGTAAAAATACTAGGGTATCATACATTGAGAACATCAATAAAAGAGAATTTAAAATAGAGGTGGAATTAAGGGTGAAAGAACATAAGAAGGTAGAATAGCTTGCAGCTAGTGTTAATCCAGCACAGAAAAATACTTAGCGCAGAATTTTGTACTACATAAAGTTCCCTAGCAGCCAAAGGAAAGACAAAATATGACAATTACATTAATTAACTCTTCATAAGAGTGGAGCAAACAAGTTTCTCAAAAGCGCAGCTGTTTTTGATCCTAGTCTCATAGCGAGTTTCTCCAGTAGATCCACTTGAGAGGAATATTTGTGATCTGAACAACTAACCCATCAACTTGCCAATAACGAACGTGATCAGGGTTTCAGAGGTGAAAAATATTTTTTTTTTTACGTTAGAATTCTCTAACAAGGCACAAACTCATACTTTGCTTCGGTGATAGAAAGGAAATAAGTAGTGTTGAGTTTTGCTATGACATCTGAGATTATTTCTCCAACTCAAAAGTTGAAAGAAGGAGGCAGTGGTAGAGGTGAGGGGATTATTGCTCAGCGCCTGCAGTGAAAAAATGCTGTGTGTCAGGCAGGCTGGTAATGACATGTTTTAAAATAGCAAAGGACTTTGTTTTTATTTCCTGCAGAGTTTGAAAACACCTTTGGCTAGCCATGTGTGGAAAAAGAGAGTAACTCATACAAATACTTCAATAAAAGACAATGCAATTTTCCGACATATCTTTGTCTTAAACAAAATAATCATGGAGATAAATTAACATGGACGTGTTTCTAGAACTAGGACTGAGCCCTTTTGAAGAGCTTACTCTTTGTGACAGCACAAACTGTCAAAGTTATAATAGTTTTAAAGTAATATTTTTACTATTTTTTGTTGGAATAGAATTAATGCATGTTCTCTTTTTCCATTGCTTGTAGTAGCTTTTATTCAATGATTGCAAACTGTATGTGAATTCCTGCCCCACAAAGTATAAGTGTATTCTTTACAAAATAGAATTTAATTATTTTTAAAAATTTGAACAATTCTTCCTCTCATACTATTAAACTTTTAGATGATCACAACTTTTGAGTACAATGGTACTCTTGCCATGTTTTACTACATACCGATATTTCTTGCCTGGCGCATTGGCTGGAACTTGAGGAGCAATGTTGAATTAAATGGTGATCGTGTGCCTGATTGTGGATGATTTTAATAGGAATTCCTTTGTGTCTCACATTAATTAGCATACTTGAAACCAGTTTGGGATATATTCCATTTTTCATAGTAAGATATCTCTCCTGCATGTCAAGTTTACTGACATCTCCTTTAATCAGGAAAATATTTTATATTTTAAAATTAATTTAATACCACTCAAAAAGATGGATTTCCTCTTCTATTACTTAGATGGATTATGCACAATAATTGGGAAATATGCAACAATATCTTTGTAGTATTGGGGCATCTTTGTAATCTTGAAATTGTGTGTATGTGTGTGTGTGTGTGTGTGTGTGTATTTGCATCCATGCAGGTATAGATATAAAGGTTATATAAGTCTCTGTCAGCTCTGCCTGTTTTAACAAATTACCATAGACTAAGTGGCAAGGACATTTATTTTTCACAGTTCTGGAGGCTGGAAGTCTGAGATCAGGCTGTCGGCAGATTTGGTTCTTGGTGAGGGTTCCTTCCTGGCTTGCAGATGAGGCCTGCTCACAATGCTGTCCCATGACAGAGAGAGACAGACAGAGGAAGCAGGCTCTCTCAAGGCTCTTAGGGAATGAACCCCATCATGAAGGCTCTGCTCTCATGACCTGATACTTCCCGAAGAACTTACCTCCATATATCATCACACTGGGAGTTAGGGATGCAACTTATGAATTTGGGGCTTGTGGAGGGGCATAAACATCCTGTCCATAATAGTCTTCTTAAGATTATTGATCTTTTCTTATGCTTTGAAACTCAAAATTCTTTGAAGAATGTAGAAAACTCCTGAAATATATGGACCAGACCTTTTTTATTGTAGAATTCTTCTTTATCTTTATGATTATTTACGTTCTCCTAGTAAAAATATTTTCAGGGCACTTTCAAATATATTAACATAAAATTTATATGGCACATAACATTTATGAAATTTTCTTAAAAATGTGTTTCCTCTAGAATTGTGATTTTTATCCTGTTACTTGTCAAACTCCCTTATCTGTGTGTTTTCCCAATTATTTTTATTTAATAAGTAGAAAATTTGTCACTGTCTCAAATTGATCTTTTGTGTGGCATGAGCCATTCCACTTTGTTAATTTTCACTGTTGTTTTTGATGTTTTTCTTAATTTGAATTTATTTCCTAGGCATGTCTGCCAGGACAGGTGTTCTGAGGTAACATATGTGAAGCAGGTTCCCTGTGCACTGGTTACCAATTTGTCTGAGTCTGTTGAGACGGAACGCACTCAGATACAAGGAGTTACCTAAAGCAGATGTATTCCTTACAGACAGGCAGCAAGAGACAACTCAAGCCCAGGTAGGACTCAATGCAAGCTCATCCCCCAGGACTCAGGGTGGACAGAGCCTCACCTGGGCATATGCCACTTGCATTCCAGCTGAGGGACCCTGGAAGACAGCCTTCGCTGGATGTACCCCAGGGACTGTGCAACCCACTGCACAAAGCTTTAAGGACATCCTGCTTCCAGGGGAGACAGAAACGGAGCGCAGGTGGGCCCTATCTCAGGATATTCCATCCCAAGCACATTCTACAGTGGTTCTTAAGAATTACTAGTAAGAAAGTGTGGATATCTGGGTTAGTCCAAGACCATCGGGAGAACTGTCTTGCAACAAGCAATTGCAAAATCTCAGTGCCTAAAGCATCAACATTCTATTTCTCTCTCCTTTCTTGTATGCATGGCAGGTTGGCAGGAGCGCCTCGCTGAGTGGTCTTTACTCTGGAAATACAGCCTGGAATACTGGCGTCTCCATAGCTCTGTTATAAAGACAGCATGATTGATGACACCCTGGTCCTTAGAGCTTCAAATGTGCAGTGACATACATCACTTGTATAGCAAAAGTCATGTGGCCACACCCAATTCTGAAGGCTACAGAGTGCCTCTCTCACATACCTGGGAGGAGACCGAGAGATATGTGGTGGTCAGCATGAAGGACCAGCACAGCTACTTTTTACTTTTGGTTTTTGTTTTTCTTCACTTGTGGGCTGACTGTTTAGTTTGATTTTTAATGTTTGTTTAGACAAAAACAGCACATACTTTCAGTTCCTTTTTATGTAGTGTTTGTTATTTTCTAATAATCTCTTCTTGTTTTGAGTTCTTTGAACTCAGTAATAAATATAAAACTTACAAATGCAGTGGTTATATGTGTTTATTTTTTCATTCTTTGGTTTTCAGCTTAGAATTCTATAGCACGAACTGACAGCACTTGCTTCTGAGCTTGTAAAATGTCTCTATTTTTTAATTGTAGCCTTTTATGATTTTGTATCTGAATGCATTTGTCTGCGTGTGTCCATGAGGAATGAAGCATCATTAAGACCTATGTATTCCATGTATATTCCAGGATGTTTTAAACGTTCTCTTGAGATGGAAAAAAGGAAACAGAAGCCAAGGCTGTATGTATTTGTGGGGGTTGAGGGGGGAAGGGTCGAGCCAAGAGGGAGAGCTTAGAGTCTGGGATCACAGGGTCTTTTGCCTACTTCCATTGTGCCGTGAACTTAGTACACATTAGCGCACTGAAGCCGAATGTTCTAAGGGAGTATGTTTTATCCTTAGTATACAATGACAGACGTGAGGACTAGGCATCAGCCCAGTGTCGTCCATCTAGTCCGTCACAGTGCTCGGGTCTGCTCGCTTTTTTGACAATGTGTTCATTTCCCCCTTTCTTTTCTTCCAGTTTGGGCAGGGGAGGGAGAAACTGAGAAGACTGAGTTAGGAGACAGCTAAGTTATCAACTACCCTACTTCGGTTACATTCCACATGTGGACCTCTGCCTTCTTCTTGAATTTCCCTATATATTTTGTTTCATTTCTATTTTCTGGGCATCTCCTGGATTTAATGTCTTCTTTTCCTATATTTATTTTAATCCTTATTTCACGGGCATCCTTTGCCCTGCCTGACCTTCCATGTTCACCAGTGCTCTGTCCCGTGCCCACGACTTTCTCTGCACTATATCCCAAGGGAAACCCTCTTCTCCACTGCCTTTCCCATCACTAAGAAGTCCATGACTATCAAATTTGTGACAGAAAGAGAAAGAAAGATTATCTCTTGTTATCTGTGTTATCATTAGTTGGACAAACTGCAATCTAAATTTAACGTACCAAAAAATATGTGCCTCTTCTATCTAGTGTTCTTCTCAACAAAGGACTTGTTATTCACCTAACGGTTTATGACAAAATATCACAAATTATCTTCTATATTTTCCTCTCTGTTGATACATTGGGACAGCCACCAAATCCAGGCAATTCTACCTAAGTTTTATTCACGTATGTCCACTTACATCAACCTTTATTGCCACCACTTTAGTTTAAATTACCATTATTTCTTTCTCACCATACTCCAAAATATTCCAAACGTTCTCTTTACAGTCACTCTTGCCTCCTCCTAGTTCTTTTTTTTTTAATCACAGAATTCATAGGAATTCCATTTTGAAAAAAGTAAAAGTAATCATGCTCTATATTTGATTAAAATTTTCGAAACACTCCTAGTGCTCAGGGTAACCAGGTCTCCAAAACATCATTATGAGCTGGTACCTGTCCACAGCTCTGGGCATCCTATCCCTTGATTAGTATTCTCTAGCCACACTGTCCTCTTCCTGATATACCTGAGCATCCCACTTTTTACCTTATTTGATCGTCTCCTAATTATTGTTTGGTCATGCAGTGAATATGACCATTCCAGGATCTTACAATTACCCTTCATAGCGTTTGTCACAATGACTATCATTGTCTATTCAATTACTCAATACCTTTCTTTCCTACTAAGTGAAATACTCCAAGACGGCCAGCAATTTCTCTACCTTATGAATGCTGTTATTTGAAATGCCTGGTACCTAATGCCTGATATATAGTAGGTATTTAAAACTATTTGTCTAATAAATACAGTACTTAAAGATCACCTAGAAAAGACAATGGGAATATGTTTGAGAATAATGAAAAGTATTTCTAAAGAGAAAGCCAAATCTGTAGAAATTTCATAATAATAATCAAATTAGTCTGAAAAATAATTCTTTCAGAAAAGAGGTTCTAACAGAATTCTAAACATGTATCAAACTGATAAATTCTGTTTGTCTTTCAATACCCCAATCCAACCCTGTCCCCTGCCCAGAGCCTTCTTTTACCTATTCTGGTCTTCTGCCATGAATTCTAATGAATTTAGTTCTTGTCTTATATTCCTTGTTATCCAAGTACTTCCTCAGAGCTAAGATCTTTCCTTTGTACTTAGCGTCCAATTTTGTGCATATTAAGTAATCATTAAACCTTTACTAAATAAATATGTTCCGAGTGATTTATTACAGAATACTAAATATCAGCAAGTGTTAATGGAAGACCTATTATGACCCAGACAATGTAATAGACCACAATTCTGCAAAATATAAATAAATAAAAATAAGAACAACTTATAGCCCTTACCCTAAAGAGTCCTACTCTTACTTGGGACCCCTTTATAGTCTAGTTCTATCACTCATGATGCCCCACTCTGTGTCCTAATTCCAACACCTCCTAAGAGGAAACAAGAGAATCATGCCCTGCTTCCCAGCAACTGCTAGAGTAAACCCATGCTTCATAAACCCTAATACAATGCATCAAATTAAAAGTGTACGTGCCTCATAATTCATTTTTATTTACTGAAAATTTGGCTTACCACTGTTATAATATTGCATATGATTAATTATGCCATAAAATTTGTATGTTCAAGCTTATGTTTGACTCTGTAAAAGGATCCATGCCTGTTTTTTTGTATTCTATAGAGAGCTCAACACAATGCATTGAGTTTCTATTTGCATGATATTTACATAAATTTGCATTTCCACATACTCCTATTAATTTTACATAAGAAGTACATCTAACTCGATGGACTATAAAATATAATCTTATGGCCTATAAAAGAAGTATAACTATTTTAAGAAACTGATTAATGCAGGAAGTTAGCAAAAAGTATAGAATATGTGTAAAAATACTAAAAATCATAACTCCCCATTGCATAAGGATTTCTATTTGAAAAACATTCCCAATTGCTCCCCCATCTGAAGCTTTTTAGATAAGTAGATCAGAGATGACATCGACCTTACCAGAAAAAACTGTGTCCTAGAAGTTAAGGGTTATCACCAAGGTCAAGGAATAGCTTCCTGGCACAATCACAACTTGAAGTCCTGACCCAAATCTGCAAAGCTGATGCTCATTTCACCTGTTTCCGGGTAATGAGTACACAGAGTTATGAGAGGCAGTATGAAAGAGAACTCTCTTACAGATGAGAGAAGCTACAGAACTCCAACCTTCTTCCCTCTTCCTCTGACGTTCTCACTCCTCCCACTTCTCCAAAACTTTGTTTCCTCTCATCAGATGCACAGCCTAGAAATTAAGAAATTGAGGGTGCCCAATCTCTGGGCTACTTGCATTATCAACGGAGGACTTCTTAAGCCCAAAAAACTTTGATGTCTTGGAGAGATACAGCTAATACTGTGTAATTAGGAGTAAAAAGTTGATTTTTTATAACGCAAAAGGACAGTTCTGCTTAGGATTGTTAAGTAGCTGAAAGGATAAGTAAAAATCCAGCTGTTTAGTGAATGTTAAGTCCCTGCATAGATAAGAAT
Source organism: Homo sapiens (assembly GCF_000001405.40). NCBI lineage: Eukaryota > Metazoa > Chordata > Mammalia > Primates > Hominidae > Homo > Homo sapiens. The sequence goes on from NC_000002.12 coordinate 4,757,619, forward strand.
ACATAGGAATTGGAGAATTAGCTTTTTAGATAAATAATTGAATTAAATAAGAAATTAATAACAACCACCCCAATGTTGTTTGTCTTCTAACAGTAGACACTTGGCTCAGCAGCCTGTCCGTACTATCTCCAGTCCTTTCAGTATATCCATACAACACTTGTTTTTAACTTTCTAGGTGAGCAAATTGATGCTTAAAAGTTAGTGCAACCTGTCCAAAGTGTCATAGCTAATACATAGCTGAGTCAGGATTCAGGCTGTGGTCTCCTAAATTTTAAAATCATTCTTAAAATCTGATCCTTTAGATTGTTGATATAAACTTGAAGAATTGGAAAGCTAAAAGTGAATCTAGAAAAATTGACCTGTTTGTCTCAGTTTTATGATCACAAGTTTAAGGCTGATGTGCTAGATTGCAGAGCTGGTTAGACATTAGGACTAGAACCAGGTCTCTGCTTTCCAGGCATAGGTTGCTTTTGTTTGTTGGGTTTTTCCCATAAGCATCATGCTGTCACTCTTTCTCCTCAAGCTAACTCCCCATGCACATGCTCCACTCGATGGAATGTCTACAGTGGTCCTTCTTGTTTGGATTCCAGTGGATGATCTTCATCACAAAACAATACAGCCCACGTGGTGACCTGACAGCAGTAGTACATTGACAGTGAAGAAGGGCGAATTAGTCTGTTCTCACAACGCTGATAAAAACATATCCAAGACTAGGTAATTTACAAGGAAAAGAGGCTTAATGAACTCACTGTTCCACATGACAGGGGCGGCCTCACAATCATGGCAGAGGGTGAAAGGCACATCTTACATGGTGGCAGACAAGAGAGAATGAGAGTCAAGTGAAAGGGAAAACCCTTTATAAAACCATCATATCTTGTGAGACTTATTCACTAACACGAGAACAGTATGGGGGAAACCACCACCATGATTCAATTATCTCCCACCAGGTCCCTCCCACAATACAAGGGAATTATGGGAGCTACAATTCAAGGTGAGATTTGGGTGGGGACACAGCCAAACCATATCAATGGGACACATTATTCCAGCCACAATGTAAGACTGTCTTTGTATTGAGAATAATTTATGTTCCAATCTTAGCGTGGACAGTGTGGGTGACATTGCCTGCATCCTGTTGTGTATACACCAGGAGACTCAACTTTCAAACCTGTACAGTTGCACCTATGAAGCCCAGCACACAGGGTTGTTATAAATAATAACAACAATTTTTATAAGTATAATAGATAATAATATGCATAAATTATATAAAATAAATAAATGATATTATCTTTCTTGCCTCTTTCAAGGCAAACATTTTCAAACCCAGCATCAATGGTTTGTTGAGTACCTGACAAAAACAAAGAACATCAGCTGAACCATATTGAAAGTCAATGTAGGGTAGTTTTCCAATGAAGCTTGGAAATTAATTGTGCAGTCATGACATGTGAATTGAATATTATTTGCTGCTCACTGCAAACATTTTCAGCATATGGTATGAATACTCAATATTTCAATATTTATCCACCTAACTTTACTTTCCTTTTCCCTCTTGTTGTGCAGTGAATATAATGTTGTCAATTTTGTAAAGTAAGAGTAGTTATAAAATATTGATAGGAATATCAACACAGTATCATTCATACCTTACACTCACTCTATTATGTGGAAAGTTGCATGCTGTGATATAAAATATACAGCTTTTTGTTTTGCTCTATCAAGAAAATAGAACGTTACTTCAGTAGGTGGCCGCTTTACAATACAATGTCCTTCATTCACATACTTCATTGTTGCTACCAGGCAATCATTATTTCAGTAAGTTGTGGAGTGTGGCAAGAATAGTGAACTATCTGATGGAAAATGCAAATACGACTCAACCACTGTTCACTGACTGAAATAACCTTACTGATTAGCTTCCTTTGAACTTTTCATCCTTTTCCAATGATAGAAATATGCCATTTTTATTCATGTTGAGTATCAGCTATGGACGTTCCATATTGCCTTTCTGTATAAATAATTAGCTTCAACTTCTGCATAACTCCATATTTTCTTTTTTCTTCCTTCACTTTAACTTTATATTGGAACTGTATCAGCCAGTTTGCAGAATCTGCCTTCTCTGCCAAGGTTCAGTTAAGTTCCATGTAGCCATAGTTCTCATCATGCATGGGAACTTAGGGTATAATTTGAGTAAGACTCATCCTAGTCCTTGTTCTTTCATAGATTTGGAGGATAATATTGTGAGAGGAGCTACAGGACACGCGGCATTTCTAAGATATCAAGAGGTGAGGCTTTAAACAAATTATGGGAGCAGAAGCCAAAGGCCTAGCAAGCCAGTAGGGATATTTGCCTCTACTCTAGAGCAATGAGAAGCCTCTTAAAGATGTTAAGCATGGTGACATTTAGTTGGTATTATTTTATTCTTTTATTTTGCTTCATTTGTATACGGAATTATAACTTTTATGTTGAAGTATAGATTACATAAAATAATATGCACAGATTTTATTGGCACAGCTCACTAAACTTCATAAATATGCACATCCATGTAAACCATTACCCACATGAAATTACAGACCATTCCAGCAACCATAGAAAGTTTCCTTATGCCCCCGCTAAGTCATATGCCTCGAAAGGTAATCACCCTTTCTACCTCCACTGTCATAGATTGATTTGAGTTTCTTGGGGGTCTTCTTTTGCTTATCATTATATCTGTGAGATTCATCCATGCTACTGCATGCAGGTATAATCCATTTTTTTCAGTGCTATGTTATAGAAAATTTTTATATAGTCTTCTATGGGTGGACATTTTAAAACCTCATTATGACTGATGCGTAGTAAGTAGGTTAAAGGAAAGGGAAGCAAAGGAGATGTTTTGAGACTGCCTCAGAAGCTACTACAATAGTTTGGGTAAGAGGCGATGACAGGCCAGATTAGAGATGCTATTTTGGAGAAAACTAAACAATGGATCATCTTGAGAGAAATTCAGGACCTGATAAATGATTTGAAATGAACAGTTAGGAAGAAGAAAAAAATCACATCTAATGCTGGTATTTCTCACTTTAACAGCTGATAAAAAAAAAAAACTGTGGAAGAATATATTGTTTGGTGGGGAAATACTGAGCTCAATTTTGGATATGTTCAGGGTGAGACACTTTTGATACAATTAGAGACATGAGGAAATCAACATCCAGAGGTGAAATACCATGGAGAGGAGGCAAATAATCAATTTTTCTCACAAGAATGCCTTTCATTGGGTCCAGAGGCTCTCTGCTGTTTACAGAGTTCATTTACGATTGTAAACCTATTTTTGTTACTCTACTGATTATTAGGACCCTGCAGGGCTCTGTGGCACATGCAGTCTACACAGCCAGGTTCTGTTGATAGCTATTGAGGTCTTCGCTCTTCTTGGCAGAGGGGTTAGCCATGGATGAGCCTTTCCCACCCCTTTCTAAAGGTTCTTCTCTAGGCCACTCACCTGATGACTAAGCTCCATGATTAGGACTGAAAGGCTGAGAAGAAATTGAGGTCATGGTTTTTCACAGCCAAGGCCCCTCTTCAAGGCTAACTTCAGGGTTATGATAAGAAATCTGTTGCTTAAAGCTGCTTACTCCTCTCAAGTTCATATTCTGATGAGCTTTAGAGTCTAACAGAGTGGTAAATGTGACCCAACAGTTGTTCTACTCAGCAGCATTTTGCATCACGTGTTTAAATGCCCATCAATGATAGACAGGATAAAGAAAATGTGGCACATATACACCATGGAATACTACGCAGCCATAAAAAAGGATGAGTTCATGTCCTTTGCAGGGACATGGATGAAGCTGGAAACCATCATTCTCAACAAATTACCACAAGAACAGAAAACCAAACACCACATGTTCTCACTGATAAAGTGGAAGTTGAACAATGAGAACACATGGACAGAGGGAGGGGAACATCAAACACCGGGGTCTGTTGCAGGGTAGGGGGAGTTGGGGAGGGATAACATTAGGAGAAATGCCTAATGTAGATGACGGGTTGATGGGTGCAGCAAACCACCATGGCACGTGTATACCTATGTAACAAACCTGCATGTTCTGTACATGTACCCCAGAACCCACAGGGCAACCCACACAATGTGTGCTCCTGTGGGCTGGAGGAGTTCTGGAGAGCACACCTGATCCCCACAGGAAGCCTCTGCAGCTCGTATGCAAATCCTCATTCCATAGTTCTGATGGGGGCGGGTGGTGTCCCTAAATTTTTTCTGGCAAACCAGCATGCACATTCTCAGTGTCTATCTCGTCCCTTGAAACTAGCTGTCCCCAGTTGACTGGTTGTCCTCTGAAGTCAACCTCTTGTGAAACGTGGGGAACTGCAGCCACCATGGGCCTTGGCCTTGAGAGAGCTCAGAGATGGAGACTGGGCAGAGCCCACTTCAAAGGGGCCCACCCAGGAGGGGGACTGCTGGCTCTGAGTGCAAACCTGAGCATGGAGGCAGAGATGGCCTGCCTGTGAGGGTGGGTAGGCATTTGGGGATTTAACAATCAGTGGTCAGTGAGTAGCTGACAGGTTGGCAGGGCTCAGGGCAGTAAAGCTCTGCGTCTTCAAGATAGGACAAGATAGGACATCCCTGTTCACCATGAGACAGTTTCTATTCTTTTTAGGAATAAAATTGTAGATAAGCATGTAGGGTGAGTTCTTAGGAGCTGGGTCCAGAAGCACCATACACCACTTTTGTTTACCTTTATCTATTGTATAGTCACGTGGGCACAGTTAACTTCAAGGGAGGCTCAGAACTGTAGCCTAGCTGTGTGTTCAGGAATAAGAACAGATATTCAATTTTGGTGAGTGCTTCTAGCAATCTCTGATACAATCACAAGTCAAAGTATCTGAAGATCAGGTATTGTTCATATTCCTTAAACAGCATTAAACCAGACAGATCAAAATGTCAACATATGTCATTTGAGGTTATACTTATATAAATATAGTTTCTCCAACATGTCTCTCCTACAAGCACCAATGGATATATTAAATTGGAATTAATATGTTAGTATATTAGTGCTACAGTCTAATGAAGAACAGGTGGGTAGTTGCATGACATGAGTTAAGACTGTGATTTTAACTTAAGTGAACACGAGGAAAGGGATTAGAACTGGGGAAATATAATTACTTAATTTGGAATTTGGCCAGAATAGCAGAGCTGAAAACTCCAATGTAACTCATTGTGAAATGATGTGTGTGTGTGTGTGTGTGTGTGTGTGTGTGTGTGTGTGTGTTAATGGCAACAAATAGTCAGGAACTTAAATCAAATTGACAAGCATGCAAACTCATCTTTCTCTTCTTTCTTTTTTTTTCTCTCTCTCTCCTCTCTCTCTATCCACACACACACACACACCCAGCAAAAACTTAATCAAGTGCAGCTGGTTTATAGCATATTTCATCTGCCCTCATCTTTTTTTCTCAAGGAGAAAAGGTGTCTCTTGCTGACAAATGATGTGTCTGTATGTACTTCAAGCAGTTCCTGAAGCAACCTCGATATCTAGCTTAAACATTGTCCAGACTTATCTCTATTCAACTAGTGAAACATAATGAGATCTGGGAACAGGATAAAAGAATTGTTTCATGGACGATATATTGCAGAGACCAGAATTCTGAGCTTTGTGTCTCACTCGGGCTACTTAACAGGCAGTCCCATGAGGGGAGACCGCCCCCTAATGGAGTGTGAGCAAGCAAAAGACTCTTGCTTTGGGCTTAGTGATAAAATGTCAAATCCCCAACTTGGTCTCAGTTAAAATATGCATTTTAAAATAAAATGATATAAGAGAGTTAAAGAACACTTGAATGGCATGTTCAAATTTAAAATGCAGTTTTCAATATTGTCCTGTATAAACGAAGAATGGCAAAATAGCCTATTTATGGCTATTCTTTGCAACTCTATAGATCTCTTCTGAAATCCACTAGATTTTAATTTGCTATTTAGTTATTTGAAATTCTCTTTTGGCATCAGTACATTTCTGTTATTCCGCACTTTTTTTCTTAAATACAAGCTCAGTTCTAGACTTTCACCATACATCTTTTTTTTTTGTTTTTTTTTGAAAAGAGGACTGGAAAAGATGGTTAACAGTTTTAAAAAAGGTAAAGTCAGTAATTAATTTCTAATACTTAAGCAAAATATAGCACAAGTTCATTGTTTGGTTGTTGCTATTTTAAATGTGTGTTCTTTTCAGTATAGACGTCTTAGAGAAAAGTTTCTTTCAGGTTAGACTCTTCCAAAAACTGTAACAGAGTAATTAAATAAAAATTTTAGATCTATGAGTGATATGTAGTAAAATAAAAAGATGTTATTCAGGAGGATTGACATGTATATGAATATTCACTAACAAACATAGAGTAAATAGAGATATAAAAACTCTTAAGAAAAAAATAACTGAAAAATGTCTGGCCTAAGGAATTATTTTCATCTTCTGTGTAACTTTGTGTAAGAGTACATTTAATTTGGACATACTCTGACAAGTAAGCAAGAACAAATACTGAATTGAATTGGCATATTCCAGGGAGTTATTCATGAGTTGATTCATTAACAAAAACATTTTTTCATACAAGCATCACATTTTTCTGGATATAATTTCGTATGACTAGTCAAGCTCTCAAAAGTTGAAAAAATTATCTGCTCTTTCTCCATTGACATGACACAAAGCAACATCACAAGATTCTTCCCTTTGAGTCTCTAACTTGAGTGGTCTTTAAGTGTATGTGTATTTCCTGATAGCTGTATGCCTACAGAGTGAATAAAGTAGGCGATTTTCTGAAAAAACTTCAATTTCTTCTACTTGATCATAGTTTGTACATTTTTTTCAACTTGAATGAAACCTTGAAAATTGAATTTATAAAGAAATTAATAAAATTTGGAACATAGAATGTGCAAAATAAGCTATTATTTTAGTTTAAATTAAAAGCATGCTTAGTAGGACATGGATGAAGCTGGAAACCATCGTCCTCAGCAAACTGACACAGGAACAGAAAATCAAGCACCACGTTCTCACTCATAAGTGGGAGCTGAACAATGAGAACACATGGACACAGGGAGGGGAACATCACACACCAGGGGCAGTTGGGGGGTGGGGGGAAAGGGGAGGGAGAGCATTAGAATAAATATCTAATGCATGTGGGGCTTAAAACCTAAATGACTGGTTGATGGGTGCAGCAAACCACCATGGCACATGTGTACCTATGTAACAAACCTGAACGTTCAGCACACATATACAAGAACTTAAAGTAAAATTAAAAAAAAATTAAAGTCTCTTGTTCACATTTGGAATTCTGAGGTTTCCCAAATGAGGGCCGATATTGTGTTAGCATCAGTAGAGAGGTTAATAGTTACACTAGCAGTTGAGCAGTTTTAGGGATTTTTTAAAAAATTGTTTTTGTTTTATTATAGAGATGTTCCAATGATTTATGTTTTAATTTTTTACTTCAAGTGAAATTTTAGTTTTAGTATTTTTAAAGAAATAAAAGGTCATCATCAGTGTCTGCCAATACTGTATATTAACGAAATGGAAAATGAACTTTATTTCCACTATCAATTGCTAGAAAAAAAAAGATCTTCACTATTAAAGGACTGTAGTCTAAAAAACTGTAGATTTGATTATTTCTGCTATTTCTCTGAAACTTTCTCATCCAATGCTACAAAGTAGCCTGACTCCAAAAGTACAGCCCACTGGAAAAGCTATTTTCTTTTAAGACTAGATTAAAATAGGGTTGTTTTGGGCCAGGTGCGGTGGCTCACGCCTGTAATCCCAGCACTTTGGGAGGCCGAAGTGGGCAGATCATGAGGTCAGGAGATTGAGGCCATCCTGGCTAACATGGTGAAACCCCATCTCCACTAAAAATACAAAAATTAGCCGGGCGTGGTGGTGGGCTCCTGTAGTCCCAGCTACTCGGGAGGCTGAGGCAGGAGAATCGCTTGAATCTGGGAGGCAGAGGTTGCAGTGAGCTGAGATCGCACCACTGCACTCCAGCCTGGGCGACAGAGCGAGACTCCGTTTCAAAAACAAAAACAAAAGAAATAGGGTTGTTTTATTTCCAAAATATTTCTGAAGGAGGATGGCTGCAGCATTATATTTGGACACTTTCCATTCTGTAACTTCATCAATCAGAGCACAGGATTTTCTTAATATTTCCTTTTGCATTTGAATTAACTCTATTCACATGGCAGATGTTCCATTAACCCTTCTTCCGCTGCTAGCAATTAGCCATTTGAATTTTTTTCCCCTTTCCTTATTAAAATGGCAATGCAGCCCCTGCTGCCTGCTAGACGGCAATGTGCCAAAGAGTCAGGTAATCTCAGCGGGTGAAGTTTAATCCTAATTAGAGTGGTGTCGATGGGACGGTGGAACAGTTATTGTCACAAGCAGGAAGTACACTAGACAGGTGGTTTCAAAGGCAGGCTATAAAGAATGTGCAGCACATAATAAAGTCACCGGAGACCAGCCGACACAATGATTCTGATGCTCTTGCTGAAGCTGACCTTTTCACAGAAAGTGGGTCTTATCTTATCCCTGTGATAAATGTGAGCCTAAGTCATAGAATCATGACCTTTGAACATATAGGCTGACTTTCAACAGACTGTCCCTTAACTCCCAGAAGGGGAAGCACACTCGGGGGACAGTCAGCTACGATCATTATTTTCACGTGCAGACTGTTGGCCGCGGCGTTCTTGCTGTAGCTCCAGCGTGGATGCATGCTGTCATAAAATCGACTGCCAAGCCCACGTGCTGTGGTTCTAGAATTGAGATGGCCTTCAGCACTCATCAAATGAGCCCAAACAGAGCAAAGACTAAGAAGGAACAATCCCAGTTTTTATGTGTATGTGTGAAACTGAGATGTTTTTCCCCTAGTAATTTTAAGCAGAGATTACAGCATATGCTCTTAGCTTCCCATCTAAGAACCTAAGAAATTCTTCATGACCATGACATAATGAATGAATGTTAAATGTGTAGCACTACGTTAAGATTGTATTTGAAGATATACTGAAAACAGGGTGATTAGGTAAGCGGCTGCACACTGCAGCTTCTCTCCCTCTTAGGTTTCTTCTGAATTGTGTCTTGCCTGGCCTTCATTGTAAGCCGTTCTTATGAAGGCTTGAATACCCAGTTATCCTTGTTTCTAGACTGAAGCTGAAAGACCTCGCCCAGCAATTCCCAGATTTTGCTGGTTTGGTTTTCCCAGACCCTCCTTACTGTGAGAAAACTTCATGCCTTGATAGAATCTCTTCTTTCACCCTCATTCTTCCTCTGATGTTTTTGCTCCTCAACGCATTTGCAAACATCCTGCTACATGGTTGCTTCATTGTTCATATTAATCTCTCTCCTATCAGCCAGTGCTGGCCTTCAAAATGCTCAGCTCGCAAGGGTTCAAACCTCCACACACCAATACATGAGCGTGCTTCTCCCAGAAGGATCCAAGCAAGGTACAGGTGAGGAATCGGGACACCACGTATTATGGTATTTAGGTCAATGTATTACATATTTTACCAATAAACAAAGTGTGGACATAATCAGAGCCCAGCACAATTGCTCAATTGTTGCATTGTTTTGAATCTCAAAGAGATATATGTTGCATTGTTTGATCAGAACAATCTCCTATGTCAGGAAACAGTGTTACACTCTCAGTCCTCCATGTTTGGCCAGAGGTCATTCTTATTCCTATGTAAAAACAGGTTGTGAGAATGCACTTTTTAGCTGAGATTACCCAGATATCCTCCCTTGATGCATCCTATTCATGGTCATTGGGATCCATTAGGGTCGTCTGGGAACTGCCTTTCCCCATGAAGACAGAGCCTGGCCCTTTTATTTATTAGCTGTGTGTTTTGAGGGAACCCTCTTAACCATTGAACCCACATTCCTTACCCAAAAAATAGACAGCGTGAACCTTAAACTAACTCATGTTTTGGTTAACAATAAGATTGTACTTAGCACATAATATACAAGTAAAAACATAATATTACTAGTATTAAATTATTATGGGTTCTTTTCATATATACAAAGGCAATTATTCCACCTTTAATACCATCTTGCCAATGAATATACAAGAAGAGCTAAAACTTTTGTGTGCGCTTTCTGAATAAAAATGTTCCTAGACTTTAATCAAAAACTCTTCCTCACTTCAGAAAATAGAATATTTAGGCCAGGATTCAAACTAAACTCCTAAACCTGCTGCATGTCAAAACTTCTGCTCTTCCCTCATCTATACAACTCCAAGAAAGAACCTGGGAGTGGTCATCCTATTTGATACTTTCTCCTTGCTCAGTGCTCTACCTCCTAGCACTTTTCCATTGCTTCATTTGTTGGAGGATTTCTGAGGTTTCAGCATCATTGTGTTGCAAGTAATGGGGAAAAGAGGTGATGCCACAGGGCAGTTCTTCCCTCCCTGGGATTCCTTGTGCACTCTGAGCCCAGGAAATGGTTAAATTCAGGGCTTATTTGCAGCTGGAGCAGTTGTTAAGATACGGAACTATTCCATATGGCCAGACTGTTCCTATCCACTGCCTCAACCTCCTCCCTTCCCACTGCCAACAGGGTCTCACTCCGCTCCCCACACCTCTGGCCCTCTCTCAAAATCACAAGCTGTCTTGTCCTCACAATCAGGCAAGTAAACAGTCAAGTCTGGCACAGCAGAGTGCATCCAGGGCCCTGGAGCCAGCTTCTACTCTGACAGGTTGGGGCACACGGTGCACTGGTTGTTAAAGAGTTTGAATACAGATTCTGGTTATAATTGACTCCTTCCCTCAGGATCACTTGATGGCCTCTTCACGATTCCTCTGCAGTACAAAAAGGCTGTTCCTTTGACTAGAGAATGCAAGTCACCTCCACGGGGCCCCTTCTCTCCTTTCTCTGCTCCTGGCCTTGCAGCCGTGTGTCTTCAGCCTGTTTCTGTTGAGGTCTCCTTGTCCACAGTCAGGACAATGTATCTTTCTCTTTCCCACATAGTCCATAACTAGTTTACAAAATACAGTTGCCAGAAAAAATGCCAGGTACCCAGTTAAATTTGAATTCCAGATAAACAATGCATAGTATTTTAGTATAAGAATGTCTCATAAACTATTGAAAAAAAATTAATCAATTATATTTCATCTTATTCATAAATAATACCATCTCAAGGGGAGAGGTAGCAAGACCTGAAGAGGCCTGAGGCCTCTTTAGGAAGATTTGGTTTTCCATTGTCTTCAGAAGACTGTGACATTGGGAAGTGTACCCTTCTCTTCTATTTTTTGGAAGAGTTTAAAAAGGTTTAGTATTAAAATTTTAAATGTTTGTTACAATTTAGCAATGAAGCCATCTGGAGCTGGACTTTTCTTTTCTACTGATTTTTTTTTCATTACTAATTTATATCTTCATTTGTGACAGATCTATTCAATATGTTTGCTTCTTCTTGAATCAATTTTGGTAGTTTGTGCCTTTCTAGGAATTTGTCAGTTTAATATAAGGTATCTAATATTTTGACATACAATTATCTATACTATTCACCTCTATTTTTTTTTCATTCCTGTAAGGTCAGTGGTAATCTCTCTTCATTCCTTGCTGACTCTACAGTTGGAGTCTTCTCTCTCTGTCTTTTGCTTTCTCTCTCTCTCTCTCTTTCTTTTTATCATTCTAGCTAAAGATTTCCCAATATTGTTAATCTTTTCAAAGAATCAGATTTTGGCTTCATTGATTTGTCTCTCGTTTTCCTATCTTCTGTTTTATTGATGTCTGATCTATTGTTATTATTTGCTTTCTTCTGCTTTCTTTAGGATTAATTTATCCTCCTTTTTCCAGCGTTTTAAGGTGCAATTTTAACGTATTGCTTTGAGGGTTTTCTTCTTTCTTAATATAAGCTTTTACAGCTATAAATTTCCCTCTAAGCACTGCTTTTGCTGCAACTCATAGGTTTTGGTATGGCATGTCTTTATTTTCATTTATTTCTAGGTTTTTTTTATTTTCCTTTTGATTTCAGCTTGACTTTCTTGGCTATTTGGTGTTCAAATATTTGTGAGTTTTTTATATTTTTTGCATTATTAATCTCTAATTTTCTGTCATTATGGTTGGGAAATATATTTTGTTTATTTCTATCTTTTTGAGTTTAGTAAAATTATATTTTTGATAACACCTTTTCACTAGTTCTTCAAAATTTGGGGATTATACAATGTATATACTTATAAAGAGTTAGAAGCTTCTAGAAAAATTCTGAGCCATTGTAAACAGGACATCTAAGTGAAGGTGCACAGGGCATTATAGCCAATTATTCTAAGAAACTAAACCCTGGGAGGCTGCTGAATTGGGGTACGAGAGGCAGTTAAGCTTTCCTTACAATTCTTCATTATAAATGCATAGGACCATCTTGAGCATTATATATTATATATGCTGAGTATTAATGTATTATATACTTATATATAATAAGCATTTATATATCAATATGTAAATATGAGGATTAATATTTAATATCATATTACATATGATATAATTATGTCATATAATTATAAAGTATTAATATATCTATATAATTATATATGGGCTCAGGATGGGGCTGATCATTTATAGTGAAGAATTGTAAGAAAATCTTAACTGCCTCTCATACCCCAATTCAGCAGCCTCCCAGGGTTCAGTTTCTTAGAATAATTGCCCATAATCCCCTGTGCACCTTCACTTTGATGTCCTATTTACAATGGCTCACATTTTTTCTAAAAACTACTAACTCTTTATGAGCCCACCCTCTGTTTAAAACCCTCCAAGTTCTGAATTACTTGACCTGAGGTCCATCTACTTCTCGGTAGGAATGATTTCCAAAATGCGCTCATTTCCTTCCCTTAGTCATTCTCTGAAACAAATGGCATTTAAAGATTCTGATTACAATTTGACAATTGTCAGGGATTCTAGGGTGTAAACTTTTCTTCAGTGAGACTAGGAATAGAAGTGGAGAAGTAACCAAGTAAATTTTCAATTTATGAAGTAAGAACAAGATGAGAAGACTTGTGGTGCGGTCCTGCTGAAATCAACCTGGAAATTATAAAGTTAAAAACACAAACTTTTTTTATTATACTGTCAATTCAATGAGATTATTCTTTTTTCAATCACCTACAAAGCTTTTAAAGTATTGTTACCAAAGTATCCCTCAATGTAGACAGCAGTAAATGTTAATTTCCAAGAGTCTGTACCAGCAATTAGCAAAGAGTTTATTTACCTCATGATCTGCCTGCCTTGGCCTCCCAAAGTGCTGGGATCACAAGCATGAGCCCAAATAATGAATTTAACAAATGTCTTTTGAAACCTGTGGTGTGTCCTCTGTCCTGGGATTGCTAATCTCCCACAGACACTCCTCCACCCTTTCTGCGAGGCCGACTTGGAGGCACTTAGTGCTCAGAGAGGACATTGGTGGCTGGAGCTGATCCCACTGAAGCACACTTCATATGTCACTTGTTTGGCATGTAAAATAATGGTATCACTGACTGGTGAGCATCCAGATTAAAGAGCTTTTTCTTGCAATTTCATCTGAGACAAGGCCTGCAAATTATTTAGACAGTCACCCATGCTGGTTATACATTAATTTCATAGAAAAGGTTACAATTGTGGAACAGATATAGAAAGAGTACTTCAACAATACTTTCCCGAAAAGAGTGGGTGTAAATTTAAATCAAACCGTTAGCATTTTTCTGACAAAGTCCAGAGAATAGTAAATGAGAATTAGGACTATAATTTTGCAAACACAAACTGGAGTGTATATTTCATGTCTGAAAAACTGGCTTACACTGTGTTCCTTACTGCCCGGCACAACAACGACAGTTCAGGAGCTTTGAGTTTCAGTTGGCACAAGGGATACTTTCTTAAGACTGTTGTCCAGACTTGCCTGGTAGAAATTATAACCTCTTTAAATTACTTAATGATTAAATTTTGTTTTACAGATTGATCTAATCAGATCCCAGATCTGGTGGAAGTATTGGATTTCATTATGATATTGCTAAACAGGCAGGAAGCCATGTCTAAAAAGCAGCAGGTTATATGCAAATAAATACTTTTTATCTTTCTTTTTTTTGGGAGGTCTTGCTCTGTCACCCAGGCTGGAATACAGTGGTGCAATTAGGGCTCCCTGCAGCCTGGACCTCCCAGGCTCAGGTGATCCTCCCACCTCAGTCTCCCAAGTAGCTGAGACTACAGGCCCACTCCACCACACCTGGCTAATTTTTGTTTCTTTGTAGAGATGGGGTCTTGCTATGTTGCCCAAGCTGGTCTTCAACTCTTGAGCTCAAGCAATCTACTCGCCTTGGTCTCTCAAAGTGCTTGGATTATAGATGTGAGCCACCATGCCTGGCATCTTTTATCTTTGCAATTAGCAATTAATTAATTTCAACTTTGTTTTCACATCAGGCCCAAAGTCTGTGATAATTTCACTCATGCTATGTCTCCTCTAATTTCAAGATAACCGAGAATGTTTTTAAGTAACCTGTGTGGATAATATTAACATCGTTAATCAAAGTAAGCTTGGCAAATTGTTTGTGAAACCATACATAACTGACCCTCAAAATAGTATTTCCTTGTTGGGAGTAAAATGGAAGTCCCCATCTTCAATTAACAGAAGAGTCTGCAGATGAGACTATGTTAGCTTGATCTTCCTTCATTCCTATCATAAGGCAGAAAGCACTTGAGGGTTTATAACATCATTACCTGAGTAGAACTGCAGAAAAACATAACTAAAATCTCCATGTGGTAGCATTTCTCTTTAAATGTCTGAAGAGGATCCCTCTATTAAAGCAATCATTTACCTTGATGGGTAAAATAAACTTGGTCCATCTGATGAGGGAACTCCAGTAATAAGAATCTCTTTTGAATCAAATCTTAATTTTCTAGTTGTGTTTTTCAAAACATTTTGTTGAGTGTCAAACACTGAATTGATTAACACTTGATAATATGTGAAAATTAGGAAGCCAACATGGATTCATAGTAGATCTTTTTTTTTTTTTTTTTGAGACGGAGTCTCGCTCTGTCGCCCAGGCTGGAGTGCAGTGGCGCGATCTCGGCTCACTGCAGGCTCCGCCTCCCGGGTTCACGCCATTCTCCTGCCTCAGCCTCCCGAGTAGCTGGGACTACAGGCGCCCGCCACCGCGCCCGGCTAATTTTTTTGTATTTTTAGTAGAGACGGGGTTTCACTGTGTTAGCCAGGATGGTCTCGATCTCCTGACTTCGTGATCCGCCTGCCTCGGCCTCCCAAAGTGCTGGGATTACAGGCGTGAGCCACCGTGCCCGGCCCATAGTAGAGTTTTGTAAAACAACCAGTCAACAATTTCAAGGTTGTGATGTCCTATTTTTTCCACTGAGAATAAGCAAGAAGTATTGGAGATTAACTTAAATTGTATGCTTGGACTAGGGTATTTCTCTCAGTATCTTTTTTCTTTTCAGAATCCTCAGAAATATGTATAGAACAGTTATTGTAGATGGAGACCACACAACCAATCCATCACAATTTTGTTAGACTCTTTCCCAGCCTGAGATCCCAGTCTAATGATAGCAACATAGCAAAATAAATAAATAAATACATAAATAAATACATAAATAAAACACAATGGTGAAAAGAGTGGGAAAGTAAATATACCAACCAGAAAATACAACTGGCACAAGTTTCTCCCATGCACATAGGCTGGTGACAACCTTCTAAGATCTGGTACTTAAAAATGAAGAGTCTAATAATCACCCAAGATTTGAGGAGAACTTCTAAGAATAAAAAAGGATAGAAGATAAACAAAACGAAACAAAAATAACTCAACAAAGCAGAAATAAAATTTTTATATTTTTCTCAAGAGAGTATTTGGAATATTTGAGTGAAAAAAATCCAGGAAAGGGAGCAATTAAAAATGGGAAAAGAGCTGCTACAAATTAAGCATCTGATTGCTCAAGTAAAAATACCAGAAAAGGTGTGAAAACAGAGTGAAGAAAAAAAAAAATCACACAAGATAGAATTAAAAAAGGAAGTAACAGAAATATGACAAGAATAAAAATAAAATAGAATATAGAAAGAGAATGTTATGGGGTGGACTGTGTTCTCTAAAAAGATATCTGGAGGGCCTAACCCCAACTCCAAGAACCTCAGAATGTGACTTTTTTTCGAAATAGGGTTGTTGCAGATGTAATTAAAGTGAGGTCATACTGGCGTAGGGTGGGTTTTTAAACTAATATGACTATTATTCTTATTAGAAGAGAAGAGACACAGAAACACTGATGTGCAAATGAACCAAGGTCATGTGGCAATGGAGGCATAATTTGGAATGATCAGTCTGCAAGCCAAGGAACTATGAGGACCGCCAGTAAATAACAGAAGCTAGAAGAAGTTTTATTTTCTCCTAGTCCTGGAGGGTAGAAGTCAGAAATATATTTTTTATTGTTTTCTTCCACCCAGTTTATTGGGGCTGCCATAACCATATACCTCAAACTCTGTGAAACTAATACAGAGAGGATTAATCAAGATGTTCACCATCTGATTAACAAGAGTTCCAGAAAAAAAAAATAGGAAATGGAGAAACTATCAAAAGGACACAAATATTTTATTAAAAAGCCTCTCCAAATACAACCCAAATAGAAATTATGACATTTTTTTTCTTCAAAACTTTGAAGATAAAAAAAGGATCTTAAAGACTGGAAAAAAGAAATAAAATCCTCCCAATGAAAATAGTTCTCTCACATAGAAATGAGAGGCTGAAGGACACTGTACTTAACCATTTCACACCAGATACTGAAGGTCAATAAAGCACAGAATCATGGATATTCTAGATTTGACTATCAGCCAATTATAAATCAAATCTGATGGCAGAATACAAACCTTATTGGAAATGCAAAAATGAAGAAAATATATACCTTTATACCTTTATAAGCAAGAAACCAACCCTGGACCTAGGACTAGGGCAGTCCTAGGTCTGCCTGTGGAGAGCAGTCCAAAGAATTTTCAGAATAAGAGTTTGGGGAGAAGTCTAAGGGAAGAGCAAACCCTACTTGAAGAGAAGGATCAAAGCAGAGTCTCTAGGAAAGGAACCAGGCTCTGGAGAAACCAGTCCAGGTCACTAAAATGGGCAGTAATATCATCACATTGGCAGGTTGTGACAACTTAAAAATTAAAAATATAAAGTACCTTGAGCAGTGACTTGCATGGATAAAGAGAAATAAATATAACTGCACTGGAAAGATGGCCAGGAGATATGGGAAAAGCAACCAAGGAAAGCATGAAAAGAGGTAAGGAGATGACGTTTACATGTGGTAATTTAAAATAATAATATTGTCTAGCGATGTAAGGCAAAAAACGAAAGAACTAAAAGAGCAAAAATGGGCTCTATTTAGGGTTTGGGAAAAGAGGGTTAGATCAGGGAGCAGAGGGATAGTATTTGTTATTGAAAATATTTTGTTTCTCATATTTAGTCATAAGCATATATTATTTTTATCAACATATTAAGACATGATGTTTAGTCAATAAAACTTGGTATACTTGATTTCTAATAATAGACAAAATAAACTCACATTGAAAAATAAATTCTAACAGAACATCTAGACTCCCTTCAAAGAAAGGAAAAGAGATCTTAAAATATTAATGAAGAGTCTTCAAGAATGATGCAGGCATCTGCCAATTTATGAGAAACTCAATTGTAAATTGAATGACTGATTTCAAACATTTAGCGAGACTGGCTGGCTGTTTGCTCCTTTTTCCACACTCATCCTGGGCTCATGGTTAGACTCTATTTTCAGCATCCCCTGCAGTGAGTTGTAGCCATGTGAACAAATGGACGTTGACAGAACTGATGTACTCCATTTCTGCATTAGCCACAAATACCTTCCCCTTCTCTCTCATCTTCAATAGCTAGATGTCAGTGCTTGAGGGAAACTTGGAGATCTAGTGTTGAAGATGGCAGAGCCTCCTCATCAATGGGTCTCTGAACAGAGCCATGGCAGACACAGCAATGGATTGCTCAGACCCCCTTCATGAAAGGACACCCTACCCAGCTTGGAGGAGTATGACTGTCTGACAGTTCCCCAGCTGAGTCTGCCTCAGCTTCCCAGCCAAAGCCATCATCTTCTCAGAGTACCCCTGTCCACATAATAATCAAGAGGTTGGTCACTGAGGGGACCCTCTTCTTGGGGCATCAGCCACATAGTGACTGAACAAGGAGAAGGTATAAGGGCCTGGTCATTTCTGCATGGTGCAAGACTCCTCCAATGGGCATCTGGTGTTACATTAATAAAGAAAGAACACTAAATGGAAGGTGCTGACATAGCAATAACTTAAAATATGTAGCTTTAGCTTAATGGGCCAAAAGTCGTCAGCAAAGAACTGTTATCAGAAACTGGAAAGATGGATGTCCATGTTATGTAGTAGCAAAAGATTTAGTAAAAATACTATTTATGCCATTTGTAAGGCAAATTATGTGCTAATGGAGCCTATAGTTTTAGCGGTGAGGTGTTGGAGGACAAGGCTACGTGGTTTTTGGCAATTATTGACTGTGTCTAACAAAATCTTAGGGAAAAGAATAAGCTCAGGGGGGGAAAAAAGCATGCAAGGAAACCTGAAAAGAAAAGGGAGAGTAATTTGGTACCTCAAAAATTTGTGTTTCTATTTGTTGACTTCAAAGGGTAGAAATTTTGATTAGGAAAGAGTTGAGAACAGCAAACACGCAAAAGGCCATTAAAATTCCACCCAATAGAAAGGTCACATGGGGGCTTTAGGCCTGATAATTTCAATTGACCATCATTCAGCTGAGTGAAAGAGATGTGGGGAAAAGTGTTGAAGTTGCAGATACCAAGATGAAAGCACTTTTGTCAGACCCAGACAAAACAGGGCTGGGAAGGAGAGGCTGAAGGAGAGGAGGCTCATGCTTACATGTCAAAGATAAGAACTCTTTCCAATGACTTTCTAAAAACCCTTCATGCACCTCCTGCTTTGATAAATTTATCACTAGACATTCTTTAGTGCCACAGTGATTCAGATAAGACATTCTCAGATGATCACTTGTCTAGTAATGGCATCTCCACCAATGAGTTGACAACAACTTGGGCTTGGAACCTCTGGAACCAATGAAATCTCTTTCTAACTGGTTTATGTAAATTTCTTTTTCGTTTTTGCAAATAAATTTCCCCTTTTTCCTTCCCTCACTGAATGCATGGGTGGCTTGCCATTCCATACATTCCAGATTATAATGATTATTTCTCTTTGCAACATATTTAGAGATTATTTTCTCTAGTGTCTTTTACCCTAGGTTGAGATAAGCAAGCAATGGAATAAATTAGGCTTGAGAATTATGTCTAACAAAGAATTTGATGCACTTACTGCCACAAGAAACTGACTGAAAGAAAATATGTCAGATGTCTACCAGTTTTTTGGAAGAACAGTGCTGCTAACAAAATCAGGAGCCTTTGATGGACTGGCATTAAAACAATGTTCGGATGTCCAAACGGGCATCAGCATGAACTCAGCTATGGAATCTGTTCTCTCTTAAGGGGGAGGCATTCCTCAATATCCACTAAGAGGCCACAAGGATAATGAGCAAGAAACAGCCCCCATTGAGGACAGCCGGGAGCAACCGAGAAAATGGAAAGATTGTTCTGCTCAGAGAGAAGAGTCAGCACCCACTCAAAGATGTCCCCACTTCCCAGGTGGGGGCTCCTCCCAGAATTCATCTTGCCATGGACCAGGTCCTGCTGCTCACCTTCCATTTTTCCCTTTTCTAGGTGGGAGTTTATTGCAGTTACCCTCTCGCCGTTTCACGGTAGTACATTGTGTTTGGGGAGGTGGTGACAGAGGTGTGAGGACATGGTGTACCAGGTTTTATGTCTCCCCACTACTTGAGAGTTGGTTTCTATTTACCACAGAGCATTTTAGTGTTGATCTTTATTCTAGCTGTTATCTTTTACTGAGAAACTGTTATAATTTTGGTGGAGACACTAAAAGAATATGACTTCCATTGAGGTGTGATGAAGAGGTAAAATCTGTTGCGCTTGAAACCCAGGTTTTCTAGCCTGTCTCTGAACGCACTCACTGTGGAATGTCTTCACTTGGGCAAGTGACTTAACCTCTCAGGGTTTTCATATCCTTATCTGTAAAACCGAGGAGCAGTAAGTTACAGAGTTATTTTGGACGGTAGGTAATCAATATTCATCGCAGTGCTCAGCATAGAGCACTTGCATGGCAGTCACTGAATAACAAGAGATGCTTCTCTAAGCAAGGCTTATAGAGAAACATCCATTTCCTTTACAAGAAACGTGCCCTATAAAACTTTATTTATTTCTCTTTTATATTCCCCTTTTTTATTATTTTCTAAGTAATCCTAAGATCTTGCACATTTCTTGTCAATACTGTCTCCTCGGTCCTTTTAGCTCTGCAGAATTAGGCTCTCCCTTTTAAATGGATATCTCAGATCTTTAATTACATGATATCTCAGAAAGCCAACAAGTAATTTTATGAAAGGAATGATAATACATATACATTGTCTCTGAGATATTTTAAAGCCCTCTGAGAAATATCTGTCTCTTTGGTCTAAGAAAAGTGTTTGTCTTGTTGGTATTTGAATATGTCTGTTTATGTATGTCTAGGGCTTTCCTATGCAGCTATTAACACTGTTTTTTAAAAACCTATGTTTATGTGACAAGAAAAAAACCCTCTTCTACAGAGTATATTTTACATTCTTTCTCCACTTGTGCCTCTATCGCAGAACACCCGAGATTAGTTAATTTATAAAGAAGAGAAATGTGTTTATCTCTCATAGTTCTGGATCCTGGAAAATCTAAGGTCAAGGTGCTGGCGTCTCCTGAGGGCCTTCTTTCTGCATGCTCACGTGGCAGAATGTGGAAAAGGAGAAAAGTGGACACATCTCCTTCCTCAAGTCTTTTTAAGGCCATTAATTCGCTCAGGAGGGCAGAGCCCTTATGTCCTAATTACCCTCAAAAGTCCCACCTCCCGGCACTGAAGATTAAGCCCCCCACATGTGAATTTCGGGGGCACATTGTGACCATGGCACATGGACGACAGACTGTCCATTGAACTGAACTCATGTGATCAATGTGTCAGCTTCTACTTTTAGTTTTAAATGGCACTGGGGAAAAACATCTAGACTGATTTAGTGTCATACGTGCATAGAATTTCTAAGTGCACACATTCACATAAATTAACAGATACGTTGCTTGTTTTGTTAAAAAATATAAAATATTTTGCTCGTTTATGATGTCAGTATATTTTGTCAGAATCTAAGATGGAAAGCTTTGACCTTATGCTTAAATAATTGGATGCAGCTTTCTGTCACAATACGTACATACATCATCACATAAATAACTAAAGGTTGCCTATAGTTTGACTTAGGCATGAGGTTAAAGCCTTAGCAAATTGAAGCACTGCTGCAGGTAATCACAGGTTCCCCTGTAACAAAGCTTTTACCTCGAATGCTGTACTTTAGATTTTTTACAACACAAGCACTCTCATTTGACAGATCTGAATATTTTAAAATTTATTGTTTTAACCATGATTTTTGCTCATTAACTTTTTTTTTCAAAACAGAAAACATAAATAAGACCATTTTAGAGATCCTTAGGGGAGTCTTATGTTGAGTGATGCAGTATGGGGTTTAGATTTCTTGTAAAATGATGCCTAGGGAAAGGAATTAGTGCTTATTTGTAAAGTCATACTGTTAGTGAGGTTTTGTTAGAATGAACGTCATTATTCATAAATTAAAAAAGATTTTGTCGGCTGGGCGCGGTGGCTCATGCCTGTAATCCCTGCACTTTGGGAGGCCGAGGCAGGAGGATCACGAGGTTAGGAGATCGAGACCAGCCTGGCCAACATGGTGAAATCCCGTTTCTACTAAAAATACAAAAAATTAGCCGGGCATAGTGCTGCACACACCTGTAGTCCCAGCTATTCGGGAGGCTGAGGCAGGAGAATTGCTTGAACCTGGGAGGCGGAGGTTGCAGTGAGCCAAGATGGTGCCACTGCACTCCAGCCTGGGCAACAGAGTGAGACTCCATCTTTCATACACACACACAAACGTGATTTTATCACTGATGTTTCTGCCTATGGTCATATTCACTATGTCCCTACACAAAACAATGCAACTGATATCATCCGAAAACCACTTTTTTTGACACAACTTTCTGGTCCAAATCACAGCTACTCAGGCCTGGAGAGGGGAAGGGAGTTCAGGGGCGTTGTCTGCCTTCCTAGGTGCAATGTTGATCAGGAATGTGAGGCTGAGGTCCATGCACAGGCTGCAGTCCTGGCTCTGCCACTTACTTGGTGGAAGTCCTCCCCATATCTCCAAGGAATTTTTTTTTCCAATTATTAAATGTAGGGCAGGGAAGAGGGGGCAGCCTATGTGGCCCTAAGATCGTTATCACTCATAACAAAGTACATTTCCATAAAGGAGGTGCACAGAAAGTGAAATTCCTAATGGTTCTAATTGTTGATTACATTGGAATGTAGATGCCGAAAATGTTAGGTTGGTGCAAAAGTAATTGCAGTTTTCACCATTACTTTCAATGGCAAAAAATGTAATTACACTTGCACCAACCTAATATATTCTGGATATTTTTCATACTTTCAAGACATTGAGCACATAGCCTAATGCCCTCCATTATGTGGAGAAGACTAAAGGATTATCATGTATTTCTACATCACAACATAGCCAAGAAGAGAAAATGAGCTCAAGAACTTCAGGTTCTTTGTTCTTTGATGACAAACATTGAAGACTTAGTTTTAAGCTTTTAGGTGCAATTCTTACATCTCCACCAAACAAATGGATGCAGGGCTGTAATATAATTTTTTAGTATTCCCACAGTGTCTTTGCATAACAGATGTTCAATCAATTAATAAATAAGAAATGATCTGTCTCACCTCTACTCAATCCTCATCTCCAGCTGACACCAGCTTCCACTTCCATCCTCATGTCATAGACCTTCTGATTAACAATGCCTGCATCTCCTCTAAAATCCATTGCAAGTCCTGCTCTCTCTGATCACCATCCCTTGTTCCTGCACTCCATTTGCTCTAGTATTTCCCTGGAGAATTGAGCCTCCTGAATGCTCTTCAACCCATTGACTCTCCAATGTTTTCACTCTTCCTCACCTTTCCTCTCTTCAGCCTCCACATCATCTCTTCACTTTCTTATTTTTTAATTTTATTATTTTAGAGACACCATTCTGCTATGTTGCCTAGACTGAAACAAAGTAGTTATTCAAAGGTGGAATCATAGAGCACGACAACCTCAAACTCCTGGGCTGAAGCAATGCTCCTGCCTCAGCCTCCTGAGTCACAATGACTCAGCTGTGCATGCACCACCACAGCTGGCTTCATTGTCTATTTTTGCTTCCCCCATTTACAGAAGAAATTATCTAGAATACGTGTAGTTCCCCTCTCCAAATTTTTCTTTTTGATCAATTTTCTAATATACCTTCTATCCCCACCACACTAATAAAAGTCATCTTTTCCAGGATACCGTTGGCATAAGAGAAGTTAAAAATGCATGCCTCTGCTTTCATCCTAATTGCCCTTGAAGGAATACTCAACACACTTGACCTTCCTTGCTTAATTGAAAGAGCTTGCTTTGTTTGGTTTGGTTTGCTTTTTTTTATGAAACTCATAATACCAAGCTGTTCTTGACCTCACCTTACCTTATGGGCCACTTCTTGTCAGCATTAACTGTTGTTTTTCTTTTCTTTCTTTTTCTTGGCTGGATGGTCCCAGAGCTCTCTTTCAGCCCATTGCTTCTATTTTCTACCCATTTTCTATCCAGTCCTATGACAATTGAGATAGTCAATATGCTAATTGTGTTCAGCTTCATGTCCTTATTTTGGCTTTTTCTGATGGCATGCAGATCTGCTACTATACTGCTTCTTTAATACCTCCATGACAGTTCAAAAAAGGCACTTCAAACTCAAGAAGCACATTTTCAAAACCAAATTTTGATTCAATTCTTTCTATACAAGGTACCTAAAGTGTTCTTCTCCAAGACTTTCCAGTTGCAGTAAATGGCTCACCATTTTCCCAGTTCACCAAAACATCAGCTACAATAGCAGATTATTTCTTGAATTTTTATTATCCCTCACATTTACCCTACACCCAAGCCATCAAAATATCTTCTTGGTTCACCCTCCAAAATGTATCCTGTATCTGTCTGTTGCCTTCCAGCTTCAATGACAAAGCCTATTTCAAGCCACCATGATTTTTCATGTGGATCCCCGATTGCTTCCTAAGAAATCTTCCTAATTTTACTCTCAATCCCTTATTATCCAGTTGTGAGAGATATCTTCTCAAAGTGACTGTCAGATGACATTACACTCCTGCTTAAAATTCTACAATGACTTTCTTTCATAAAACAATCTAATAATTTTTTAGGTTGTAGAGACAACTTGAGCACGCTTTGCTTCTTGGTATGGGGGGGGGGGGCGGTTCTCTCACAGGCGCACATTGAGTGAAATCAGGGCTCCATCCCCTTCTCCTATTTAGCCTGAAATGGTCATATTTTCTCTGCTACAGTACTTGGAAGAAGAGAGTTTCATCCCCTTTTTCTGCTAAGTCTGAAATGGTCAAATTGTCCTTGCTATAGTCCTTGGAAGAAGCTTTATCTAGGCATTGTCAGTTGGGCAATCCAACATGATGCTTTGACTTTTTAAAGGCTGATTCAAAGCTGTAGAGTATAGGAAATTCTGTACCAAGGTGCCAGGTGCATCAAATGTTCAGACCGGAAGTAGAATATAGCATCCAACTGAGCACTTGGGATTGTAGCAAGAGGTCACTTTGTTTCTGGTACATGGCCTCCCTTCATTCCTGCCCATTGTATAAGCTGGTCATCTAGCCATTCCAGTGATGCTAGGCATTGTCCAACATCCTATGAATCCATTGTCTTACTAGCTGCCTAGTGCTAGTTTATATTATTTGAAGTGAATAACCCTGAATAATGCACATTATTCATAAGAACCCCCATAATCTGAATCTCATACACTCCTTTGACTACATCTTTTCCCAGCTCCCCAGTGTGCACTAAGTTTCAGCCAAGGGGTCTAAGTAATCTTTCTTGAAAATGCCATTGCTGTTTCTGTCATGCTATATTACATTTACTATTTCAATTTTTTTTTTTTTATTTAACAGTGACTCAAAAGCTTAGTGGCTTAATATAACAATGATTTGTTATGCTTAGTCATTTAGTGGTTGGACTGGGCTGGAAGGTCCAAGGTTTGAACAGTCTTCACTTACATATCTATTAGTTGGCACTCTGCCACATTTCCCCATGTGGATAGCTTGGGCTTCCTCACAGCATGGTGGACTCAGGTAGACAGATACCTTATATACTGGCTGACCTTGAAGAATGAACATGGAAGGTACTGTGCTGCTGAAAAGCAATGCCAGAGCTTATCCACCACTGCATCTACTATGGCGTATTGGTCAGAGACAGCCTGAATTCAGGGCTCTGCCCTTTGGTAGGAAGAGTAGCATGCATTTATAGGAGTGGAGAAATCATGGCAGCTATCTATGGAGACTACTGCTTTTGCTCTCCCCTTTGTCTGTGGCTCTCAGTTGTGGCTTCTTATGGGTACTTAGTTCTCAATTTAAACATCTCCTCAGAAAGGAAATTTCTGAGCCCCATATAATATTGGTCTCACCCATTTTATTTTATTTATGAATTTATCACTTCCCTAAATCTCCTTGCTGGGGAAAAAATAAACCAAAAAAAGAAATTCTGCCTGGATTTTATTATGAGTGCAAAAGGAAGTCATTGTAGGGTTTTAAGCAGGGGTGTAATGTCATCTGACAATCATTTTGAGAAGATACCTCTAGCTACTGGATAATAAGATACTAAGAATAAAATTAGGAAGATTTCTCAGGAAGAAATTAGTGATTCATGTAAGAAATCAGGTGGCTTGAAAAAGGCTATTGGCATTGAAACTGGAAGGCAATAGACAGATACAGGATGCATTTTAGAGGATGAACCAACAAAATACTTTGATGGCCTGGATGCAAGGTAAATGTGAAGAACAAGAAAAATTCAAGAAATAATTTGATGTTTTTGGCTAATGTTTTCAGGAACTGGGAAGATGATGAGTTAATAATTTTAATTCTAGATATCTTATGGAAAACTAATAATAGACATTGTCTTCCCCAGTGGAAACTATTCCACTGCATTCCAGTCTCCTGGCTTCTAGTGTGCTTATTTAGCATCTTTAAATATGCTTTTAGTTTTATTGCAAGGTAAGACTGCATGTGGTACTCAGCATATAACTCCTGGGTCATCCAATTTACAGCCCATGGACGAAATCTGGTCCAACAATTGTTACTGGAAATAAATTTTATTCTGACACCACCAGTCCCATTTATTTGTGTGCTGCCTGCAGCTGCTTTCATGCTGCAGTAGCTGTGAAGGAGACTCACAAAGACTGAAATACTTGTTCTGGCTCTTTACAAGGAAAGGTTCCCGACTCTTGCTACATCCTCCTGTATGACTTTTCTATTTTATGTGATGTGAAAATGAAGTACTGTGATATGATATAAAACTTATGGAAATCTGGGGCTAAAGTTATAAATTTTTGTCAAAGGCAAACACTTCAGGTCTTTCTACTGCTCTCAACTCCCACCCCTACCTTTGTGTCACTAACCTTAGGGGAGAGCAAGGTGTGCATTCATGTGCATTCATGGCATTTCATCAGTGAGTACAGATGCGGCAACCCAACTCCATGGCTTTCTGAGTGAGAAAAATGTTTCGATCATTGAGGGGACCATAAAGTACTAAAATTAAAGACTTACATTGGGCATGATTTCAGTATTGAAGGATAATTTGAGAAGCAAGTATCTTAAAAAAAAGTATTCTTTATCTTCCTCCAGTTTCCTAATTTGAAAGTGATTAAGACATAGCCCGAGGCTCTGCTTCAGAACCTAAGCATCTGTGTCTGTCAAGTTAAACAAACAAACAAAAAAAAACAAATGGAGAGAGAGAGATGGTAAGAATAAATGTGGCCACAAGACTAGATTTATATTGAAGAGAAGGATCTCCATCAGCTGGTTAATGATATGCTATCATCAACAAATTCACTCAGCAATGGCTTTCTGCTTGATGCTGGGCATGCTTCTCTCATTTCACTTGCGTCCCTAAGTCCTCTACAGAGTTAAAAATACATGAAGAAATAAATATATTAATTAATGAATATGTACTTTGAAGTTGATTTTTAGAATACCAGCATACTTTCATGAAAAATTCAAGGCAAGATGAACCTGGTATTATTCAGAATGTTTCCAAAGATAAGAAAGTTCCTCCTCTTGCCCAGGTTCCAGCCCCTGTGTTTAACCTGACAAGAACAAAACTACATTCCTACATTCCTCTCACCTACCTTTGTCTTCTTGCCAGAATATTTTCTCTCATGAAGAGAGGGGAGAGTGGAGGTACATTCGTTTTTCACTACAGCTTCTTATGATTATTCGTGCTGCTTCTAACAACAGATGCCACCCTTGAACAGGCAGAAGCCCATCTTTCTCCACCATTTGGTATATAAAATTTTCTGAAATCAGCTTTGATTTTGGGCCTCCCATGAATAGAGTCAGTTTCCACAACTGTGGGGCCTCTTAGGCGATATAGTAAAATAAGTAATCAACAGACCTGACATTATTCTTTAACTTTTAACTCTAAGTTATGTATTGTAACAAAATGGCATGGTGGAAGGAGGAAGTTCTCTAGTGGAAAGATGTATGTTTAAATTCTCTTGTTAATATTTTGTCAAAGATGCTATACTAGGTAGGATAACAGGCCCCCATGATGTTCTTTTCCTATTCTCTGGAAGATGAATATGTCAGGTTACGGAACAAAGGGGAATGAAGGCTGCAGATGGAACTCAGGCTGCTAATCACCACCTCTCTGACTTAGAAAGAATATCTGGAAAATGGAGGCAGAACATTCAGTGTCAGAGGATGTGACGTAGAAGACTCAAATGGTTCCTTTTGGCTTTGAAGATAGGAGGGCCCTGAGCCAAGGGATGAAGTAGCCTTTAGAATCTGAAAAAAGCCGGGAGGAGATTCTCTCCAGAGACTGTGGAAGACAGTGTACTCACCCAACATATTGACTTTAGCCCAGTGAGACCTGTCTCAGATTTCTCATCTATGTGCCTGTAGGATAATCTGTTTCCCTGCCGTTTCCCAGCAGCAGTAGGAAATTAAGACACTGAGATACATGGATACTGAAATTGTTTGAAATATCAAACACAACAAAATACACCCATTAAAATTAGTTTTACTTCAGTGAAAACAATTTTAATTCAGTGAAAACAATTCAGTTTAGATTTTTCACTGGAGCACATGTCACAACAAGAGGAAAAAGAAACCTATTTGCAGTATATTTAACAATTATGTGTCACTATGAAAATTCCCGCAAAGTCTGCCCTTTGCAACAACTTTCTATCTTGACTTCTTTGATTTGGCACCTTTTATAGCCTCCTACTTCTAATTATATTTCTTCTCATTCCCCTGTTTTTCCACATTTCATTTCTATATCCATTCTTTTCACTGGTGACATTTTCCATTTTCAAGGCTTTAACAACCCCTGCCATCTTGATGGGGTTAACCATATTCCACAAGCCCTGATATGTGTCTCAAGCTGAATTCCCACCTTTCACCTGTGTATGTGGTAACCTCTCCCCCACTATACCCAGTCTACCTTGCATGTCTCTGGAAACAACACTCCAACACACCCTAAACTAAAACCTCAACCCCACCTCTACCTGCATCCTGCTTATTCAGAGTTTCAGGAGCAACACCTCTTTCCTCTAAGTGGCTGCACCAAGAATCTCAATGTTTTGCAATCACTCTTTCCACATCTAATCAGCTGTAAATTCTAATTCTTGCAAATGCTCAAATGACACTCATATATTTTTCTATTCTAAGAGTCTACTGGCAGAACCTTATTTTAGGAGACCTTCTAATTACTCTTCCTGCCTTCTGCCACTTGTCCTAATCAGTGCCATATTCTACAACCTGCATAATTAGAAAAGCAATTTTTTTTGGCCCCAGAACCTTCAGATATTGGTCATTGTCCCAAAATAAAGTGTGAGTCCCTAACAGTGATGTTCCACATTTCCATAGTACAGGGCTAGAATATTTTTCCATATATGTTTCCTATTATTTTTTTCTCTCAGGATTCATTCATACTGTAAAAAAATATTGAGGACACAAAAAAGCTCCTATTTATGTGTGTTAGATTTATAGGTAGTGTTTTAATCCATTTTCACACTGCTATAAAGAACTACATAAGACTGAGTAATTTATGAAGAAAAAAAGTTTAATTGACTCACAGTTCTACATGGCTGGGAAAGCCTCAGGAAACTTACAATCATGGCAGAAGGTAAAGGGGAAACAAGGTATATGTTACATGGTGGCGAGAGAGAGAGCAAGTGGGGAAGTGCCACGCTTTAAAACCATCAGATCTTGTAAGAACTCACTCATTATCACAAGAACGGCATGGGGGTAACTGCCCCCATGATTCAAGCACCTCCCACCAGGTCCCTCCCTTGACACTTGGGGATTATGGGAACTGTAATTTGAGATGAGATTTGGGTGGGGACACAGGACCACATCATATTATTCTGACTGTGGACCCTCTGAAATCTCATGTCCTTCTCACATTTCAAAATGCAATCATGCCTTCCGAAGAGTTCCCCAAAGTCTAAACTCATTCTAGCATTAACTCAAAAGTCCAAGTTAAAAGTCTCATTGGAGACAAGGCAAATCTCTTCTGCCAATGAGCTTGTGAAATCAAAAGCAAGTTAGTTACTTCCAAGATACAATGGGGATACAGGCATTGGGTAAATATCCCCATTGCAAATGAGAGAAATTGGGCAAAAAGAAGGGGCCACAGGCCCCATGCAAGTCTGAAATCCAATAGAGCACTCATTAAACCTTAAAGCTCTGAAACGATCTCCTTTGACTCCATGTCTCATATCTAAGTCAGACTTATGCAAGAGGTGAGCTCCCACAGCCTTGGGCAGCTCTGCCTCTGTGGCTTTGCAGGGTGCAGCCCCCTTCCAGGATGTCTTCATGGCTGGTGTTGAGTGTCTGCAGCTTTCCCTGGCACACTGTGCAAGCTGTCAGTGGATCTACCATTCTGGGGACTGGAGGATGGTGGCCCTCTTCTCATAGCTCCCCTAGGCAGTGCCCCAGTGGGGACTCTGTTTGGGGGCTCTGACCTCACATTTCCCCTCCTCACTGCCATAGCAGAGGTTCTCCATAAGGGCTCCGCCCCTGTCAGAGACTTCTGCCTAGACATCCAGGTATTTCTATATATCCTCTGAAATCTAGATGGAGGCAGGCCCAACACCACATGCAAGCTGCCAAGGCTTGGGGTTTGCATCCTCTGAAGCAATGGCCAGAGCTGTACCTTGGCCCCTTTTAGTCATGGCTGGGGCTGAAGCTGAAGCAGCTGGGACACAGGGCACCATGTCCCAAGGCTGCACAGAGCAGAAGAGCTGGCCTAGAGAACCATTTTTCCCTCCTAGGCCTATGGGCTTGTGATGGGAGGGGCTGCTGTGAAGGTCTCTGAAATGCCCTGGAGACATTTTCCCCATTGTCTTTGTTATTAACTTTCAGCTCCTTGTTACTTATAAAAATTTTTGCAGCTGGCTTGAATTTCTCCCCCAGAAAATGGGTTTTTCTTTTCTACCTCATTGTCAGGCTGCACATTTTCCAAATTTTTATGCTTTGCTTCTCTTTTAAACATAAGTTCCAATTTCAAATCATCTCTTGGTGAATTCACATGACTGTACACTTTCAGTAAAAGCTAGGTCACATTTTGAATGCTTTGCTGCTTAGAAATTTCTTCTGCTAGGTATGCTAAATCATCTTTCTCAAGTTCAAAGTTGTACAAATTTCTAGGGCAGGGGCAAAATGTCACCAGTGTTTTTGCTAAGGCATAGCAAGGGTGACCTTTGTTCTACTTCCCAAAACTTCCTCATCTCCAGCTGAGAACAGCTCATACTGGGCTTCATTGTCCATATCACTATCAGCATTTGGGTTACAATCATTCAACAAGTCTCTAGGAAGCTCCAAACTTTCCCATATCTTTCTATCTTCTTCTGAGTCCTCCAAACTGTTCCAACCTCTACTCATTACCCAGTTCTAAAGTCAATTCCACATTTTCAGGTATCTTTATAGCAATGCCCCACTTAGCTTAGTATCAATTTTTTGTGTTAATTCATATTCACACTGTTATAAACAACCACCTGAGACTGGGCAATTTATGAAGAAAAAAGGTTTAATTGACTCACAGTTCCACATGGTTGGGAGACCTCAGTAAATTTAGTTGTGGTGAAAGGCAAAGGGGAATTAAGGCACATCTTACATGGTGGCAGGAAAGAGAGAGAGAGAGTGAGGAGGGAGGTGCCTCACACCAGATCTTGTGAGAACTCATTATCATGAGAACAGCAAGGGGGAAGCTGCCTCCTTGATGCAATAACCTCCCACCAGGTTCCTTTCTCAACACACGGGGATTATATTTCAAGACGAGATTTGGGTGGGGACACAGAGCCAAACTCTATCAGATAGAAGTTAAAAGTAAAACTTTTAAATTCTTTATTCATTAATTAATGTCAAAGTAATAATGATATTTCTATTGTGTACAAACATAGCATTTGGGGGGATAAAAACCTGTATTTTTCAAAAGAAAAATTACTGAAAAGATTGACATTATTCATCTTAGCAAATCTCTTTAACATCTGGCTCCATAAATGACAGCTGGATTATCATATATGCTTGTTGATTCAATCCATTTTCACATGTTGATTTGTGTAAAGTATATAAGAAAATCCAGTTTTACACAATTATGTACTTGGAAAAGGGAGTGATTTTTAAACAGGCTTTCAGATGTTTGTGAATATTCTACTTAAATACAAATCAAACTTCAAGAAGTGGTAGTTTTTAAAATGTTACTTGCAATGTGAAATCTGAAGCCATGTAAATTAAGATTTTATACTATGCTACTTTATAGTATCTCAGCTTAATTTTCAGTCTGAACAGATAACTTATCTATCATGCAGTGATCATTTGTAACATCAGTTATTGGTCATTGGAAAATATTAATTTATATAGATCATGCAAATGTTGATACATTTCATTGTATAACATCTAGAAATCACATGCATTACTATCACCACGAAGTTCATTTAAAAAGTCTTTAAGTACTGAGAAACTGTTAGAGTTATAGTGGCAAGCGTAACTTTCCCAAAGTACTAAATTTTTCTTGCAAGTTTGATATTTATCATAGGCAACCAATACTGTCACTTGTATTCCTTGAAGCATCAGTAATCCTTTACTCATTGTTGAGACAATATCTGCCTAATATTTTGCATATCTCAGCCTGAGTAACCATAGTTTGTCTAGTAGCTCTTCTAAGTAAAAAATGGTGTTGCATGAAAATTGTCTAGTTCAGCATGTATAGCTCAAACAGTCACAGAAGCTCTTTTCCTGGAGGTAACCATTGTGCCCCCATATATGGCAGAAGTGCAATGCTTCTCATTTTTGTCTAACAGGATATAAGACTTGTACTCAAAGCTTGAGATTTCATACAATTAATGATATTTAATATTTTTCAAAGATATTCCCAAGAGAATCTACATTTTTCCCTTTGTGTGTGAAGTAATGAAGAATACAGGGATTACTTGTATGAACTGGAGCTACTGCCTTGATTCATGGTAAGATGCCAGCAGTTACATGCACTGTTGCTTTTGCATCTACAGTAAAAGCGCCAACAAAGTTTAAAAAGGCAAATAATGTCTTAGTGTTATTATGAAAATAGTTTTGACCTCATAGCCTCCCAGAAAGAATCTTAGGAACCATGAGAGGTCCACAGAGTATACTTGACATGGCTAATCATTTTTGCTATTTTCACCCACAACCATAAGAAGACCCCAATTTTATGAAATTTAACAGAATGTCTTCAGGTCCAATGGGAGTTATGGAGAGTCACCTGCCTGTGTCTTCCTCCCTCACTCTCCTTTCTCCTGTGACCCCATCATGATCTCAAGGCTCACAGTCTTGGCAAGCCAAAGTCCTCACAAGTGTGCTGTGTGTCAACCTGTTCCACTTCCCATCTCCTTCGCATTGCTCACATCATTTGCTTGCTCAAAACTTTCCTCACCATTGAACACCAAGCCAACAACAGAGTTTTCCTCACTCTCACATTCATTTTAGCTATAGTCCATAACTGGGACTTCACCTGGCTTTCTAGAATGAACTCTTCTTGAGGGCAAGGACCATTGCTAATTCAATTTACCTTCCAGAAAATGCAGAGGTAATAAAGGTTTGTTTAATATAATTGAAAATTTTTTCTTGAAAAAATCATTTTCTGGGTGTCTATTTTTTTAGTAGCTGGAACATTCAATTCAAATAGTGTATATCTATCTTTCAGTCTCAAGAGTGTCTCCCACATTTAGCCCTAAGAAACATTTCTTGTCAGAATTTGATTGTTATTATAAAAAATTTCAAACCAAGATCATCCCCGTTTTAAAAGTTATAATTGGATAAAATGATAGAAACTCTTACACCAGCCTAACTGCAATCTAACCCTCACTCTACCATTGAAGTTTGCCTTAATACTGGCGATCAAGTATATTTCCCTAGGGTGTCTTCAGTAGAGCCTGCGCTGCTGCTTCTTGAGTATTTTCAGGGAATTCTGTGCATTCCTTTCAAACGATACCACATGTGTGATTACTCTGACTCTCAGAGTCTTTACAGATTTGTCTACACTTGCTGGTAGCCTTACCCAGAAAACTAGATCCTTGGATTGTACAAGGAGAGCTCCCTGCCGATTAGCACCAACTGGTGCAGCACCATTTTCATAAGGCTTTGCGACTGCTGATGTGCAAACACGAGTTGCATTTGTTTCATTTCTAAGGATTCAGAAACTACTGATTTATGTCAAAAACAGGGGCTTTGTTCTGAATATTTTTGGGTAATAATTGTATCCTGGAGGTTCAGTCTATGGCAGGGAAGGAGAGGTTTATGGTTCCGGGTCCCAAGACTTAGAAAGGGACATCAGCTGTCACTGAGAAGACTGCAGAAAGTTAAAGGATGTTATGTGTCACCGACTGTAACTTTCGCAATAAAACAATGGAGGGAAGAAAACATACAGATCAAAAGCAGACATCCTGCTGGCTTTTGTACAGTAGGAGCCTTCACATTCATTTTCCTTCTTCTTTTTCTTTGAGAAGTGGACATGTGGCAGCAAAATGTGCAACAAAACTCCACCATCACTAACAAATAATGACTAGAATTTCACACACATATTTTGAACTGAGTGATGATTTTTTAAAGTTGCTATGCACTACATGAACACATCACTGTGCATTTGGAAAGTAAGCAACACAGAAAGGCTTCCTGGCTTATTAACTTTTATACATAGTCATTAATCTAGCATTTTATAGTCCTAAAATCTCTTTCATGTATATTGTCTTATATCTCACCCCATCTCTGTGAGGTGGATATTATTTTCATTTTAAGGAAGTAATAACTGTTTTGATAAAGTAGTGTGTCAAGCAGAGATGCATTCAGCTGTTATTCTGAAGTAGACAATCAAGCACTGTTTGGTGGCCCCTGGAAGTTACCAGAAACACAGATGTCTTCATTTTTCTGCTGACATCATTTGTTTCTATCTTTAAGAGGTTGAGAGATGGCTACTGTAGGTCTAGCCATTGATTTGAATTTCTGGCCAGGAAAAGGGGAAAGACAGGAAGCAAAAGAGCATTCACTTCCTAGATGAGTCAGCCTACTTTAAAGGGTATTTTCTGGAACTTACACCAATGACTATTTCTGACCACATATAGTTGACCACTATATATATATCTGCAAAGGAGACAGAGAAATGTAATCTTTTGCTTTTGCTTTGCCATTGCCATTCCAAATAAAAGTAGGATTCTTTTTCTGAGGAAGAAGCGTAACCATCTTCCTATAGATGGTTATTCTGTTACAGAGCTGAAGCTTTAAGCCAAATCCACCTCTCTCAGTCTACCATTTTGTATCTGAATTTACACTGAGGAAAAGATATTTTTATGTTTACTTCTGTCTATTGCTTCCCATGCAATATTCTTATTTGAATACTTACCTCTAGAGAAGCTTTAAGACTATACACTATGCACAATATTCTAACTCTTTCATAATCTCATATACTCATAGGGCTTCAGTCTTTTTTTTTTCTACTGACACAATTTTTAAGTCCTTCTCCGTTTCTTGTACTTTTTGAACTATTTATCAGTCTCTTCCCACTCTCAAAACAAAGCCTGTCCCTCTACCTTGTGCAGCTCATTCTCTCTTTCTGATTATGTCTTTAATTTCAAGGGCACCCATATTCCCCAGAGTTTCAACTGAAGTGGCTCCATATCAATGATCCCGCAACTCGCAGTAGAAGCAAACGTAAATCTTCTCTGAAAAAAAAATCTTCAGGTTAGGGATTCTGGTTCTCCATAAATTAAAATCAATGAAATATGAGAGACCACAATTAAAAATCAGCAAACATGCAAAATTGTCATCATCATGTATGAGAGTCAGATAGAAAAGCAAACATTACATTTAGACTCCCTGATATTGAAATTATAAGATAAGCAATACTTAGCATTGTGCATATGAAATATATTTATGGCTTTTAAAAATTAATAAACTGAGAAAGCCATAAAATCTATTCAAAATCATGAGAGAGCTTTGAAAAATAACCATATAAAATGTTTATATGTATATATGTACATATGCGTGTGTTTGTACTATATATTTGTATACATATCCATACATGCATATATACCTACATATAAGACATAATAATTCAATTAATTATTAAATAGCTGATTAAAGAAAAATGACAGATTCACTAATGGATCTGCAAAAATTACCTAGAATGCAGCCCAGAGGCACAAGTCAGAAAATATGAAGAATTCAAGAGGTAAGGAGAATATTATGAGTAATTCTACCAAACATCTAATGGGATTCCAGAAGAAGAGACTACAAAGAGAAAAGGAAGAAGATATTTGACCAGATAATAAAAAGCAAGTCTTTATGACTAATGAAATAGATCAATCCAAAGTAAGATCCAAAGTTAGAGGGAAAGCATAACATGTACCAGACAGAATAAATAAAAAGAAAACTGTGTTTCGATGAATGGTAGTGAAACCATGAACTGCAAATTCAAAAAGGTTTTAAGTAGAGAAAAGAGAGATTACTTAAAAACCATGAACTGCTTATTAAACAGGGAATCCTTTCCCCATTGCTTGTTTTTCTCAGGTTTGCCAAAGATCAGATAGTTGTAGATATGCAGCGTTATTTCTGAGGGCTCTGTTCTGTTCCATTGATCTACATCTCTGTTTTGGTACCAGTACCATGCTGTTTTGGTTACTGTAGCCTTGTAGTATAGTTTGAAGTCAGGTAGCATGATGCCTCCAGCTTTGTTCTTTTGGCTTAGGATTGACTTGGTGACGTGGGCTCTTTTTTGGTTCCATATGAACTTTAAAGTAGTTTTTTCCAATTCTGTGAAGAAAGTCATTGGTAGCTTGATGGGGACGGCATTGAATCTGTAAATTACCTTGGGCAGTATGGCCATTTTCACGATGCTGATTCTTCTTACCCATGAGCATGGAATGTTCTTCCATTTGTTTGTATCCTCTTTTATTTCATTGAGCAGTGGTTTGTAGTTCTCCTTGAAGAGGTCCTTCACGTCCCTTGTAAGTTGGATTCCTAAGTATTTTATTCTCTTTGAAGCAATTGTGAATGGGAGTTCACTCATGATTTGGCTCTCTGTTTGTCTGTTATTGGTGTATAAGAATACTTGTGATTTTTGTACATTGATTTTGTATCCTGAGACTTTGCTGAAGTTGCTTATCAGCTTAAGAAGATTTTGGGCTGAGACAATGGGGTTTTCTAGATATACAATCATGTCGTCTGCAAACAGGGACAATTTGACTTCCTCTTTTCCTAATGGAATACCCTTTATTTCCTTCTCCTGCCTAATTGCCCTGGCCAGAACTTCCAACACTATGTTGAATAGGAGTGGTGAGAGAGGGCATCCGTGTCTTGTGCTAGTTTTCAAAGGGAATGCTTCCAGTTTTTGCCCATTCAGTATGATATTGGCTGCGGGTTTGTCATAGATAGCTCTTATTATTTTGAGATACATCCCATCAATACCTAATTTATTGAGAGTTTTTAGCATGAAGGGTTGTTGAATTTTGTCAAAGGCCTTTTCTGCATCTATTGAGATAATCATGTGGTTTTTGTCTTTGGGAAAACTGGCTAGCCATATGCAGAAAGCTGAAACTGGATCCCTTCCTTACACCTTATACAAAAATTAATTCAAGATGGATTAAAGACTTAAACGTTAGACCTAAAACCATAAAAACCCTAGAAGAAAACCTAGGCATTACCATTCAGGACATAGGCATGGGCAAGGACTTCATGACTAAAACACCAAAAGCAAGGGCAACAAAAGCCAAAATTGACAAATGGGATCTAATTAAACTAAAGAGCTTCTGCACAGCAAAAGAAACTACCATCAGAGTGAACAGGTAACCTACAAAATGGGAGAAAATTTTCGCAACCTACTCATCTGATGAAGGGCTAATATCCAGAATCTACAATGAACTCAAACAAATTTACAAGAAAAAAACAAACAACCCCATCAAAAAGTGGGCAAAGGATATGAACAGACACTTCTCAAAAGAAGACATTTATGCAGCCAAAAGACACATGAAGAAATGCTCATCATCACTGGCCATCAGAGAAATGCAAATCAAAACCACAAAGAGATACCATCTCACACCAGTTAGAATGGCAATCATTAAAAAGTCAGGAAACAACAGGTGCTGGAGAGGATGTGGAGAAATAGGAACACTTTTACACTGTTGGTGGGACTGTAAACTAGTTCAACCATTGTGGAAGTCAGTGTGGCGGTTCCTCAGGGATGTAGAACTAGAAATACCATTTGACCCAGCCATCCCATTACTGGCTATATACCCAAAGGACTATAAATCATGCTGCTATAAAGGCACATGCACACGTATGTTTATTGCGGCACTATTCACAATAGCAAAGACTTGGAACCAACCCAAATGTCCAACAAAGATAGACTGGATTAAGAAAATGTGGCACATATACACCATGGAATACTATGCATCCATAAAAAATGATGAGTTCATGTCCTTTGTAGGGACATGGATGAAATTGGAAATCATCATTCTCAGTAAACTATCGCAAGAACAAAAAACCAAACACCGCATATTCTCACTCATAGGTGGGAATTGAACAATGAGATCACATGGACAGGAAGGGGAATATCACACTCTGGGGACTGTTGTGGGGTGGGGGGAGGGGGGAGAGATAGCATTGGGAGATATACCTAATGCTAGATGACGAGTTAGTGGGTGCAGTGCACCAGCATGGCACATGTATACATATGTAACTAACCTGCACATTGTGCACATGTACCCTAAAACTTAAAGTATAGTAATAACGAAATAAAATAAAATAAAATAAAATAAAATAAAATAAAATAAAATAAAAGAACGTGAGGGTTCTGGTGAAAAAAAAACAAACAAAAAAACCATGAACTACAAATTCAAAAAGAGGTTTTAAGTAGAGAAAAGAGATTACTTAAAAATAATTGGAGGCCGGTCACGGTGGCTCACGCCTGTAATCCTAGCACTTTGGGAGGCCAAGGCGGGCAGATCACCTGAGGTCAGGAGTTCAAGACCAGCCTGGCCAACATGGTGAAACCCCGTCTCTACTAAAAATACAAAAATTAGCTAGGCGTGGGGGCACACGCCTGTAATCTCAGCTACTTGGGAGGCTGAGGCAGGAGAATTGCTTGAACCTGGGAGGCAGAGGTTGCAGTGAGCGTAGATCATGCCACTGCACTCCAGCCTGGGCGACAGAGCAAGACTCTGTCTCCAATAATAATAATAATAATTGGAAAAAAATTGTATTACTCTTCTCAATTTAGTAATGGAACTTAGAAGGCAATGGACAATATGTACTCAGAATGATGAGATAAAAATAATTGTCAGTTCTCAATTATATATTCAGAAAATGATTTTATGGGTGAATTTACTTATAATAAAATATGCATTTTGTTATGTCAATTAATAAAATGTACTACCAACACACCATACCAGCAACAATGCTACGATAATAGAAGTGTGCAGAGATTTAGAGCTGGTGCAAGGAAAAATCAGCATAATAGATTCTAAAATATTTTCATTATTTGGGATGGAGCTTAAGACATAAACTTTAGAGTTGGTTAACTGTGTATGTTAAAATTTAAAAGGTAACAAAATAAGTGGATGTAGATGCTTTATATTTTATCAAGTAAAGGAAAAATGCAATAAATGATTACATTTTTAAAACTCCATTGACTGAAAAAGGAAGAAAATAAAATATGCGTTGAAAAATCAAGACAAAAATCAACGACTTAGCTGGCACAGTTAGACGATACAAACTAACAAATATATAAAAATTGGAAATAAAAAAAGAAAAAAGTTTGTCAATATTTACCGATAATAATATTATTTAAACATAAATTTGATACAGCTTAGCTTATGGTAAAATGGAATAATGGGGACCAGATTTACTCTCCCAGTTGGAACAACTAAAAAATAATAGGACGACACACATGAAACTGTTTCTGAAGACATTGCACATCAGACACTGAAGCAAAGGGATTCCTGAAAAAGATGAAAGACGCGCGGTGAGTACTCTGATTCCCACAGCTTGTTACCTAGAAGGATGTCTCAGTTGTGGTGGAGGAGGGGAACCCTGGCAGGGGTTGAGGAGACAGTCCGGGATGGACAAGGCTATGGCAGCTCCCAGGACAGAGCCTTGGAAAGGAGCAAGTGGCACAGGCAGAATTCTGCAGAACTGTGGAGGGTTTCCCTTTAGTATTCACCAAACTTCTTGTCAGCACATGAGTATGAAGGAAAAATCTGAAGAAACATCTCCCTAAGAGCATTAAAGTAATCAGTGCCCGTAGTTCATGAGAAGCTGGGAATAGTGCCTGTTCCCACCAGTCAGAGTAACGAACCACATAATGGACGAAACAGCAGACAGAGCAGTGCAGAAGGGTT
The DNA here is from genome assembly GCF_000001405.40 of Homo sapiens. Taxonomy (NCBI): domain Eukaryota; kingdom Metazoa; phylum Chordata; class Mammalia; order Primates; family Hominidae; genus Homo; species Homo sapiens. The sequence goes on from NC_000002.12 coordinate 4,797,695, forward strand.
TCACCCCAGTCAAGGCATAAAACAGACTAAATGCTTCTCTAGTCCCAACTTGCTAGTTGGGACTAGTTGAAAGGCCCAAAAGAATCAAATGGCTGTGCAGTAACCTAAACATATCCCAAAGCTTAAGAATAATTATAGAAATGCAAAAATATGGCCGGGCGCCATAGCTCAGGCCTGTAATCCCAGCACTTTGGGAGGCCGAGGCAGGCGGATCACGAGGTCAGGAGATCAAGACCATCCTAGCTAACATGGTGAAACCCCGTCTCTACTAAAAAATATAAAAAATTGGCCGGGCGTGGTGGTGGGCGCCTGTAGTCTCAGCTACTCGGGAGGCTGAGGCAGGAGAATGGCGTGAACCCAGGAGGTGGAGCTTGCAGTGAGCCGAGATCGTGCCACCGCACTCCAGCCTGGGTGACAGAGCGAGACTCCTTCTCAAAAAAAAAAAAAAAAAAAAAAAAAAGAAGAAAGAAATGCAAAAATATTTAGCACAAAGCAAGGTAAAATACACAAAGTTATGAGTGACATCAATAGCAACTCAGCAGGCATGCAAAGGAGCAGGCAAACGCACACTTGAGAATAAAGCTCAGTTAATATTAACTGACCAGAAATGACATGTGATAAAATTGGTTGATAAAATTGATAGATATGGACACTAAAAGATATATTGTAAATGTGTCCCATTTATTCAAGAATGAAGAGGTTGAGCTGAACATAAGTGGAGGCAAGGAAGATATAGGAAGACAAAAATAAAGATTCTAGAGTTGAAAACTCCAGTGTCTAAGATGGAAAATACACTAGACGGAAATAATAACTGATTTATCATTGCCAAAAAAAGCATTAGTCAACTAGAAATATAATAATAAAAACTGTACACATTTAATGACAAGGAAAGGTCTGAAAAATGAACAGAGCGTCACTGAGATAGGGAACCCCTCAAGGGCTCTAGCAGACATATAATTAGAGTGAAGAAGAGGGAGAGAGATCATGAAAAATAATTTTATTTATTTATTTTTTGAGACAGGGTCTCATTCCTGTTGCGCAGAGTGCAGTGCAGTACTGTGACTACAGCTCACTGCAGCCTTGACTTCCCGGGTACAAGCAATCCTCCCACCTAAGCCTCCTGCGTAGCTGGGACTTACAGGCACGTACCACCACACCCGGCTAATTTCTGCATTTTTAGTAGAGACAAGGTTTCACCATGTTAGCCAGGCTGATCTTGAACTCCTGACCTCAGATAATCCACTCGCCTCAGCCTCCCTAAGTGCTGGGATTACAGGTGTGAGCCACTGTGCCCAGCCTGGAACATTTTTTATTTCAAATAGTATAAGTCAGAACACAGTGAAATAACATTGTTAAAGTACTGAATTTTTTTTTTTAAAGATAAAACCCAGTTGTCACCACTAGGATTCTCTACTCAGCAAAAAAAAAAAAAAAAAAAAAAAAAAAAAAAATTCAAAAGTTAAGGCACAATGAAGACTTTTTACACATGCAAAGAAAACCTATACTATAAGAAATGATACAAGAAGAAAAAGAAAATTATATCATGCAGAAAACAAATTCCCCATAAAGAATTCCAGAAATGTAACCACTTGTATATATAAAAAAGTTAGTTTTTCATATTGCTTAAAGCTCTTTACCAATAATTGAATAGAATATTAAAAGAAAAATAACAAGAATTATATTGTGGGTTTGTAAAAAGTAGAATATAAAATAACAATAGAACCAAAAAAAAAAAGGAAGGAAAGAAAGTAAAAGTAAAATGTTTAAGAGTTCTATGTATACTTGGAATGATATAATCTCACTTGATAGTAGCCTGTAGTAAGTCAAAAATGCGTACTGTAAATTATGAATCAAATCATGAAATAACTCAACAATATGTTATACCAAATAAAGCAATAAATAAAATAAAATGGAATTGTTAAAATTCTGAATTTATCCAAAGGAATGAAACAAAGAGGAAAGAGGAACAAAGAAAAGATGGGACACATAGCAACAAACAGCAAAATGGTACATTAAACTTCAACATGCCAAATATCACATTTATTGTTGCATTAAATGTAACAATCAAATTAATAGGAGAATAGTTTTAGATTAAATAACTTAACAATCTTAACCATATGCTGATTACAGAAACCCAATTTCAGTATAAAGACAAATTGTTAAGTAAAATACACACTATCAAACTACAGATTGGAGTAGCTATATTAATTAGATGAAGTAGATTTTAGAACACAGATCATTACTAGGAATGAAAACAATTTCCTAATGAGAAATTTTGTAACAAAAGGGCCAATTCACAAGGGGAAAAGCAGTCTTAGGTATTTTTGTACATAATAATGAAGCTTTAAAATATATAAAGAAACAAACTAGTAGAACTACAATGAGATCTCGAGAAATACACAGAAGTACTCAGACATTTTAATGCTTTTCTATAGTACATAGAATAAAGAGGCAGAAAAATCAGTAAAGATATAAAAGATTTAAATAGTATTGTAACCAACTTGATCTAGTTGATATTTATGAAACACCCTACCCACCCTCAGCATAATAAACACACTTTTCAATTGCACATGGAACATTAACTAAAATTAAATATATTCAGATTACTAAAACAAGTCTCAATACATTTAAAAATATTCAAATCATAAAAAAGTGTTCTTAGACCACAGTAGAATTAAACTAGATAAACTAGATACACATAGAAACTGGCCAAGTATTTTAAAACTGAAAAATAATTCCTTAATTATTACATGTATTTGAGAAAGGATTTAAAAAGAATTAGAAAGTATTTTGAACTGAATGAAAAGGAAAATAGAAATGATTATAATTTTTGCTGTGTAGCTAGACTAGCAACTAGGAGGAACTTACAGCACTGATTACTGTATTAGAAAAGGTGAAATTCCTAAATCAGTGATTCCAGTATCTGCCTTAAGCCAGGCAAAGAAGAAAACAAAAAAGTAAAGAGCAGAAATCAATGTCAAAAGCTGATTCTACGAGAATCAATAAAACTGATAAACATTTCAGAACGATAAAAACAAAAAACATAACAAATTACTAATATCAGGAACGAAAAGAGTGACATCTTTACAGGTCTAAAAGATATTTAAAAAGTAAGAGAAAACTATAAAACACTGAAATAATTAAATTAAAAAGCTAAATACATCACGCACGTGCACACACACACACACACACACACAGCCCTTGTTTTGGGTCCGAAGACTCAGTATTGTTAATATGTACATTTCCACCAAATTGACTTATGATTCAAAGCATTGCAGTTAAAATCTCAGCATGATTTTTTTCAAAAACTGGATATTTGTTTTGAAAATTCATATGGAAGTTCAAAGGACCAGAACTTCCAAAACATCTTTTAAAAAAGAACACAGATGGAGGACTAACTATCTGATTTCAAGACTCTGTGGTGTTAAATGTAAATGACATGTAGATCAATGGAATAGAAGAGTCCAGAAACAGACCTACCCATATATAGCCAACTGAAATTACCAAAAATGTGCAAAGGTAATTTAATGGAGAAATTGTAGACTTTTTCGTCAGTTTTCTGGTCATGACTGGGGATATGTATACAATAAAACAAAGCAAAAGAAAAGGAGGCCTTCAAACCCTAACTTGAACCTTATAAAAAATAAACTTAAAACTGATGATATATTGGCCGGGCATGGTGGCTCATGCTTGTAATCCCAGCCCTTTTAGAGGTAGAGATGGGTGGATCACTTGAGGTCAGGAGCTCCGGACTAGCCTGGCCAATGTGGTGAAACCCCATATCTACTAAAAATACAAAAAAAAAAAAAATGGATATATTTAAATTTAAAAGTTAGAAAAACATATAAAACCTATTTTAAAATCCTGTAAATTTAAAAACCTACCATCAACAGCAAAAAATAGTAAGACGAAAGCATAGTAGAAAATTGTTTTGACCTTAGGTTGGGCAAATATTTCTTAGATTTCAAATCAAAAACGCAATCCCTAAAGAACAAATTAAACAATTACACTTTTCAAAATTAAAACAACAGAAACAACAAATTTTGCTCTTTGGAACACACTCAAAAGCATGAGAACACGAGCCAAATACTGAGAGAAACAAATCATTGCAAATTAGATATCAAACAAAAAACCAGTATCTATGCTATCTTAAGAACTGTGACAACTCACTTAACTCAACTTTTTAAAAATGGGCAAAATATTATTTAAACAGATACTTCACCAAAAAAAAAATAAGAATGGCAAATTAGCACTTGAAAAGCTGTTCAACATTATGAATCATTAATGAAATAAAACGTAAAATTGAAATGTTAACTTATAAGTAATAATGATTTATTAGAACACAATAATTAATGTATTAAATTTAAATAACTTAAAAAGATTCACTATAAAAAGTGTTGGCAAGGATATGAACACATTAGAACTCTCAAATACCAGCTGGTGAAAATGTGAAATAGTCCAACAAATTTGGAAATCAGTTTTGCTGTTTTCTGAAGTGCTCAACGTGCACCTGCATATGATCCAGCCATTCTACGCTTATACAGCTACCCAACGGAAATTAAAGTGCATGACCATACAAGTCTGGTACATGAATGTTCAAAGCAGATTTATTTGAAATAGGTAAAAACTGAAACTAACATAACCACCAAAAGTTGAACTAACAAACACGTTTTTAAATACCCATCCAATAAAATATTACTCAGCAGTAAAAATGAATGAACAGTAGGTACGTGAAACAAGATAAATGCATTTCCAATAAGTATGCAGAATTTAAATGGCCAAAAATGTGTTAACTTTATTATTACATTTATATAAAGTTTTACGGGATGCAAGCTAATCTATAGTGACACATTGCAGATCCTTGGTTACGGATAACGAGGTGGGAGGAGGAACAGGAGGAAGGGAATAGAAAGCATCACTAAGCATTGGGGTGAGGAATCTGCTCTATGGATTTTGGTGATGGTTTCATGCATTCATATATGAGTTGAAACTTGTCAGATTGTGCATTTGAAATATGCTTAGTTTCTTTTACAGAAATCACACCTCGAGAAAGCTGTTATAATAGATTTGGGGAAACATATTAGGAAACACTGTTATGACCATCAGTATATCACAAAAACTACAATTCTTACAAGAAGTCAACCAAAGATCCACTGGATAAACTTGTTATTCAAGACAAGTACAAACATAAGGCTTGGCATGGTGGCTTGTAGCTGTAATCCCAGCACTTTGGGAGGCCAAGACAGGTGGATCATTTGAGCTCTGCAGTTTGAGACCAGCCTGGGCAACATGGAGAAACCCTGTCTCTACAAAAAAAGTACAAAAATCAGCCGGGCGTGGTGATGTGGGCCTGTAGTTCCAGCTACTTGGGAGGCTGAGACCGGAAAATTGCTTGAGCCTGGGAGGTGGAGGCTGTAGTGAGCCGAGATCACATCACTACACTTTAGCTTGGGCTACAGAGTGAGACCCTGTCCCCCAAAAAAGCAAAAGACAAAAACAAAACAAAACAAAACAAAAAACATAAATGGCACACTGGAAGAAGATATAACAATATGTGTTAACAACAAAAGATCCCTAAATAAACAGCAACAAATAGCCCAGTGGAAACTGGAAAAATGACAGAAACAATGATTTCACAGAATAGGAAACAGTGATAACATACACACTAACCTCATTCTCAGGCAGAAAACGATTCATATTTTATCCACAATAATTTGCCATTCTATAGAGGCTAAATTGAAAATAAATTAAGAAGTCTGATAATACCAAGTAGTAGAGAGGATAAGCTTTTAAATGATGTCATTGCATAAATTTCTCCAAGAAATTTGAGGAAATTATTTGACACAATACGATGTAAACTAGTATTTACTGGAAATCTGACCCAGCAAATATTTTCCCAGGTATGTGCCCTAGGGAAAATTTCACAAATGTGCAGCTAGAGACATATGCAAAAACTTGTTCATAATAGCATTGTTCTTAGTAATAAGAATTGGAACCTAAATGTTCATAATGGAAGAATGGAAATATAAGTACAAAAAGGTGTATTATACAGTGATGAAAATGAGTGCACTACAGTTACATGTAATAGCATCCACGGTGATTAAAGACAAACTAGTCAGTGAAAATAACAAGTTCTATATAACTATGTATGGTAAGATACCATTTTGTTTATGTTAATAAAAAGAATTAAAATTAAGCTAGAAAGATATATCATATGTTATCGAATATATTTTTGAAAGCAAATGAAGGCTGGGAGCAGTGGCTCACACCTGTAATCCTAGCACTTTGGGAGGCTGAGGCGGGCATATCATCTGAGATCAGGAGTTCAAGACCAGTCTGGCCAATGTGGTGAAATCCCATCTTAACTAAAAATACAAAAATTAGCTCGGCGTGGTGGTGGGCACCTGCAATCCCAGCTACTCAGGAGGCTGAGGCAGGAGAATCTCTTGAACCCAGGAGGTAGAGGTTGCAGTGAGCTGAGATCTTACTGCTGCACTCCAGCCTGGATGACAGAGGGAAACTCTGTCTCAAAAAAAAAAAAAAATTAAATGAATAACAAACACAAAGTTTAGAATAATTATGACCTTGGAGGAGGAGGCTAGAGAATCAATAGGGTAAGAAAGGAGTGCTTGAATAGATTCAGTAGAGGGATAATGTAGACATCTTGTGTGAAACGGTGGATTCCTAGTGTTCATTGTATTATGCTTCCTAACCCACGTACATTACACATATTCCTCATATTCATCATATTAAAAACCTACAAGGCGGCTGGGCACAGTGGCTCACGCCTGTAATCCCAGCACTTTGGGAGGCCGAGGCGGGCGGATCACGAGGTCAGGAGATCGAGACCATCCTGGCTAACACGGTGAAACCCCGTCTCTACTAAAAATACAAAAAATTAGCCGGGCGTGGTGGCCGGCGCCTGTAGTCCCAGCTACTCGGGAGACTGAGGCAGGAGAATGGCGTGAACCTGGAAGGCGGAGTTTGCAGTGAGCCGAGATCGCGCCACTGCATTCCAGCCTGGGTGTCAGAGGGAGACTCCGTCTCAAAAAAAAAAAAAAAAAAAAAAAACACACACAAAAAAAACACAAAAAACTTACAAGGCTTTAGAGGGTAAGAAATACAAATGACAGGCTACTTGTGAAAGGCTGTTCTTCACTTATAGATTTGGGGAGAGGAGATGGGAAAATACACTGACTTTGGGGGAAGGGTGATCAGTGGTCCATTTTCAATGCTGGGTTTCTTCTAAACACTCCTATTAACCCATTCCCCACAAGCGCTCTTTCATAGACACTTCTTTGTAGACAAAGTATAAGGCACTTAAGATATCCTTTATAATCCTAGGCCTACATTCCTATGTCAGGGGGATTTCAGGGATCCCCAAGATTCAACACTCCCATAATGACTCCCAGGACTCAGCATATAGTTGTACTCATAGCTAACATTTCTTACAGTTAAAGGATAAAATGCAAAATCAGAGAAAGGAAAGAATTTGGAAGAAAATTAGATGCAAGTTTCCAAGCATTCTCTCCCAGTGAGGTTGCACAGGACACACTTGCCAGCAATGTGTCCTGATAACATATGGGAATGCTGTCTTCCAGAGAAGCACGTTAAAGACTCAGCACCCAGCATCTTCACTGGGGGCTGGTCACATAGGCACCCACTGTCTAGCTCATACCCACACTCAAGACCTCCAGAAAGAAAGTTCAGCACAGACCATTCTGCGTGCACTGGTCAGGCTCAGTGAGCCACTCTTACCATTCAGGGAAGATGTTATAAGAGCTTGGGCAGCTGGTCACCAGCCAAGTTCTCAGACCCCAGACAAGGGCCAGTTTCCTTTCTATGGAGGACGGTCTCAGCCTGCCCCACAGGAGACCCCCCAGAATCTAAGTACAAAAATGAAATAATTAATCAAACGTTTTGGTTCCAGAATGGATTATACTAGCCTGAGAGACATGTACGAGAGCATTCTTGAGTTTCTTTTAGGAGAAGGAGAAAAACAGTGGACCCTGTATTGGGGTCAGAAACTCCAGGGGCAGGGCCTATCATCCTTTCTCCCAAGGAGATGGCAGTACATCCAGGGCAACCAGCCATAGACAGAAAAAACACCAGTGATACATGGGCTCCCTACCAGCTCAAGAGAAATAGATGTGTCACGACCAAGTTAAAAAAAATGTTAACTATATTCTAACCAGTCTCTCTGCTTTTACATGATTCCCATACAAACCATTTACTCTACATTTAGGAAACAGGTTATTACTGCTAAACATGCTTCCAAAGCCCATACAATTAAGCAATGAGACAAACATGATTTAGTATAATGCAGGGTGAATTATCACATGCCTGTTAGGTGCTGATTATTTTACTTAAGTTTAAATATAACGATGTGGAGGGGGAAAATGGACATTTACTAGAAATTTGAGCAAGATACAGAATTATCAATTCTTAAAAAACATTATGTACCTTAACATTGGATTCCAAGAAATGATGCATTTTTAATCACTAATGTGATGTGACACATGTCAACAGCAGGGAAAGGGTTACATCAGTTATGCTGTTCTAGGAGTAGTCAGCACTGAAGAATTCCTGCACCTCAGGAAAATCTAAACACGTTCATAGCAAAAAAAAAAGAGATAGGATTTACATATTTTCAAACAATAAAACCAACATGTTTCACTAAGTAAGCTAAAAGGACAATTAAAAAATATAAAGAGAATAAGAAAGTCACGTATAATCCCACTCTCTAAAGAAAACTGCTGTTTCTATTTTATTGTATTTCATTTAAAGCTCTCTTTGATTTATATGTTGTATATATATGTTCTGTCTCTATGCATGTTTATATATATATATATACATATATATGCATGTTTATACATGTACATAGTGTGGTTATATAAAAGCTGAAGGACTTTTTTTTTTTTGCTTTTAACTAAAAAATCATTTAAAATAAAGATCTGTAATAGAACCCTCCCAATTACAAGAAAAAGAAATTAAGAAGCCCAAGGCTAAAATCGTAACCCATGTCACTTGCTTATATCTTTAATCAGTAATTAAATAATTTTGCTAATTTTGTTCAACAGGAGTTTCTTTCTTAATGGCCTGCAGTCATTCAGCTAGATCAATGATTTAATCATGTTATCATGCCACCAGCTTGGTCTGAAATCCTTTTGTGGGATTCTCTACAGTTCATGGTGGCATATTTTCGGTTAAAATGACCTGAAGTGCTCAAGAAAATCTCATATATTCACCAAATAATGATCTGGACCTAGACTATACATACTAAAATCTCTTCGATCCACTTTTCATCTACAAGGAAGCAGTTTCAAGAGCACAATGAGTATGGTTTGTTACACAGAAATTGCCATCTTCTAAGTATTATAACGGTCTGTTCATGTACTCTTGCATTTTCATGCATTCCCACAAATTTGGTTACAATTAAAAATAATTATGCCTGCAATAAAAAACATAATTATGTCTTGAAAATAATTCTGGCCATTTTATCTTACTGTGGGTTTAGTGTTGAATCTATCTGTGCTAAAATCACCTGGGAAATCCAGAATGTTCTCAATATTTTTATATAATTTGAAGGCATAGTTATTTTTCATAGACGCTTAATTTTTTTCCACTTACATCACAAATGTTTACTAATGTTAAAAAAATAAAAAGAAAACATGCAAAATGACAGATCTGGATTATCATAAATATTATAGTCATCACAAAGTATCATTAAAAAATTGTTGATGTTTATCAGTCATATAAGAAGAAAACTACATTACCCCTGTCCCGAAGTAGCAGATATTATCTTGACAGTAGTAAGTAAACTAGCAAAATGTCTAAGATAAAATGCTCCAATTTGGATTGAAGAAACTGAGCTATCTGTCTTTGCTTCTAATAAAAAATCCTTCTCATCATATTTCCAAGCCTGCTGTATGAATTCATGTTTACATATTATGCTACATCAATGAAAATATGAATGATATTTTACATATACGTATATGTATGTATGCATGTATCTATGTGTGTGTATGTGTGCGGGTTCATACATACACATGCACACAGGTGTATATATAAATATGATGCACAAATTTGAAATTGTACAGTATTTTATGGATATTTTCTTAGTAAATGTTCACAGCAAAATAACATTGAGGGTCGTGTATTAGTATCGACATTCTAAAGATGAGAAAGAACAGGCTAACAACAAATGCATGACCTGTCCGTCGTGGGCGCAGGGTAAATTGTCTTTCCTTCCTTTTCACTGCCTCGGTGTCTGGCTCTTAACAAACAAGACGTGGTCTTTGGCCCAGTTGCAATTAGTTGTACTTTCTTATTTCGCACACAGCACTTTCATGAGCTGTGAACATATGCCCCTTTCAGTGTGGCCGGTCCACCTGGGTTCTCTATGAGCAAGAACCACTTCATTCACATTTACAGGGCATTGTGATTGTTAGTATCATTGTCAACCTGGCTGTTTCCCGCAATGAACTGTGAGCCCATGGAGCACATATCACGGCGTGCCTCCATCTCCAGTGTTTGCAATGGCGGTACTCTTGCTGCCAGGTAGGTCTCATCTCAAGCATCACCTCCTTTCTTCTGACCTCTTAAAGTATTACCTCCAGGTTGCATTTCTTCACTGAGTTCATCAATATAAAATCACCTCCTATGTGTCTGCTGCCTGTTTATTATCCGTCTCCCCTCCGGAGCTCTGGCTTGCTTGCTTCAGTGCTCTCAGCATGCAGAACCGTGCCTTGTGTATGAAGTGCTTGAAAGGATTATTGCAAACCATTAATAATTTTTTATTGTTTGTAAAGAATAAATAAACATGATTTTTTGAACAGCAAAAATACCATGGATATTTGATGTTAACTGCCTCCATATGCCATGTTCACATGTTCACATACTGTGTCCTGTTGTCACTTAAAGACCAGATATAAGTGGCCTCCCCTGGGTTTGTTTACAAGAATGGGGGAGGCCCCATGGAAGAGGTAGTATGTGCACACTTTCAATGAGTTTTGAGATCAACGTTACTATCCCATTGTACATATGTGAAAATGAAGCTCATGTATTTTGAAAAACTTGCCAGGATGCACCTGTCACTGGAAACAGCTAAATGTAAATCTCAGGTTGCAATGACTCCAAGTGCAAAGTTGTTCAGCTCTCCATGCTAGGTTAGGGAAATACTGAGGGGCAGATGGCCTCCCAGTCAGCTCCACCAGGGCTGGCTGTCAGGTGTGCCCATGCATTGGTGCTGTCTCTGTATCCCCACTGAAGCCCACAGCAGAGGCTGCATGTGTGCTCACATACACATTTATTCATTCATTGTATTTCTGTTTATGGATCTAATAACTATTAAATTTTATACAGGTGTTTTTATCACTTAAAAAATCCTTAGACAGCTGCGCCCAGTGGCTCATGCCTATAATCCCAGCACTTTGGGAGGCCAAGGCAGGAGGATTACCTGAGGTCAGGAGTTTGAGACCAGCCTGGCCAACATGGAGAAACCCCATCTCTACTGCAAATACAAAATTAGCCAGGCGTGGTGGTAGATGCCTATAATCCCAGCTACTTGGGAGGCTGAGGCAGGAGAATCACTTGAACCTGGGAGGCAGAGGTTACAGTGAGCAGAGATCGTGCCATTGCACTCCAGCCTGGGCAACAAGAGCGAAACTCCATCTAAAAAAAAAAAATTCTTAGACATATTCAGGTATTTATCTGTTGCAGAACTTTTAAATAAACCCAGTGTTCTATGGATGGTTTTTATTTGGCTCACAATTCACTGAGATTTCAAATTTACAAATGCCATTGACAACACCTTCTTTGTCTCTTTCAAACTGATTTTTCTGGGAAATCCCTGTTCTGAATAATAGAGGCCTTGAAATTCACTTGATGGTGATTTGGACTCACCTAGCTCCTTATTCTGAAGAATTTTTTTTCAGTATATTAGATGTTTTTCTCCTCTCTGATGTGTCTCCATCATTCACCAGCCCACAAATACCTGGGCTGGAGGGTAGGGGAGTGGGTCCTGTGGCTCATAAAAAGTGCCTTTTGCCTCTGGTTAGAATACCTCCACTAGTCCAGGTCCACACTTGTAAGAGAGATCTCAGTACACCAAAAGCTGTGCAAATTAAAATAACTACAAAAGTGAGAGATTTTAAATCATATATTTTAAGTCCTGATTAAGAAAATTCTGAACCCTTAGCTTGATGAAAAAGGCTGAGGATAAAAAATTACTAACTTTATACATCAACAACAATCCAGTGGCAAAAAGAATGACACTGATGCTTTCTGATTTGAAGGAATTAAACTAAGACCAGTTGATGGAATGTCTTAGGAAATTTTTGACTTCTTTGTAAAATATAACTATCTAAAAATCTAAGTTGTCCAGAGATGGAAAGGAAACGCTGACTTTTCTGTTAACAGAAGAAGAAAACATTGTTTGGTAATTACCATGAGAAAAGCAATGTGCTGGATTTTTAAATTTTGTTTATGTTTTGTTTTATTGTTGCTATTATTATTCCACAAAAAGCTAATGAGGAAAATAATTACATGCTCAATTTTCAAGGTGAAAAGCTGACTCAGAAAAACTAGACAAATTGCCAGCTAATCCATGATAAAGCCAGTATTCAAATCTTGATCCTGGACACTGCATCTCATATTACCTTTATCCTCCATACTCTAGTCAAGGTATACCTTCAATTACTAATTTTTTGTGTGTAGAAAAATTTCAAAACATAGTGTTAATAGACAACAAAAATTCAGATTTGGCACATCTATAGGTCCCAGTTGTTAATAATCCTAAAGGTTTCAATCACATTCAGGGTTTTTTTTGAGGATACTATGTGGTGACCCAGAGGAGAACTGCTGCTCACAGTCCACCCCGCCTGGGGCTGGTGTGCTTCCTGGCAAACACTCACACTATTTGTTTGTTAATAAATCCAGGAGCTCAGTCATCAGTTGACCATGACAGCAACTCTGATTTCAGACTTGCAAAATTATTTAACTTTTAAAAATAATAATTGAGAGTTAAGTATTATATTTACTCAAATGTGGAAAGGGGAACACAAATTCTAATCCATTTATGTTTTAGGTCCACTTGTGTTATTAAATATAAGTGGATTGTCAGAGGAACAACCGGTAGCTCACAGAGATAGGAACTAAAGACAGCAACATGGCGGTGGGTTCATGTCACCTCTGATTATTGGATGCATATGGGCCTGAAGACAAATTCTTTAGTGAGGTACATTCTGGATCAAGCTTAGATTTAAGGGACAAAAAGACCCACAGTTGGACCTAAAGTGTTGTGTGGTTAAGAGGATTAAAGGGTCTTTGAAGAAACACCAATGGCTCCCAATGAGTGATCACTGAGTGAGCTACCTAAATGGGAAGAAACACTGCAGAACTCTATGAGATCTGGAAGGCATGGGGCAGATGTACTCTCAAAGTAGGTGGCTCAAATTCTCCTGAAGCCAAATCATTTCTAAGATTTTCCAGGTATCATTTGTGCAGAACTTGACACTGTGAAACACTTTCACCTACTTAAGTATATGTCAGCTCACTATATACAGCACTGTGGGGGAAGGTAGATTGGGCCTTTGCTTTCAAGCATCTGTCCTGTCATTGGAAAAATAAATAGAATAGAACTAGGATATCTCAGCAGCCTAAGTGAAGCATTATTTATTTTGAAATATATTATGAAAATTAATAATAACAATAGGGACTTCCAGTAATGAAATCTATCTTGTACTCAAAATTGTGGCAGACGTAAGAACAACATGGCTATACTGTCCTAATTTTGCTGGTGAGTTATCAGTGGCATAGTAGGTGATTTACTGAAAAGCCACTGAATGGTTCATAATACTAAGGTAGTAAGCAAGAATGTCTGCTCCCAAAGCCCATGTTCTTTGCAATCCACAACGTTGTAAGGAGTTTCTATAGCTGTAAGGTCATCCTGAATTCTTCTTTTGTTGATTATCAGAGGTCAAAGTACTAGGAGTTCCTCCTGACCAGCTTGTTTCCATGTAATGACAGGCTTTCCCGAGGCTCTGACTTCTTTCTGAGAGCAATCTCAATCTCATGTGTTGCCACATGCAAATCTCGTGGGTATCACTAGTTTCCTAGATATTTTTAATCGTTAGTAGGCATTTGTTTAATGCCCGTTTTATTGTACGGTGCCTAACAGAAAATATTCACCACAAACATCTGAAATGTTTGCAAAATTAATCATCACCTTTATTTACAGGTATGGAGCAGCTGATTTTTTTCCTTAATAATTTTTTCTTTTAAATTCCTTGACTAAATTTAAAGTAGTAGAAAACAGACTAAAATTTTAAAAATAATAACTAGAAATAAATAATAATCTGAAACTTTCAAGTTGTTATTCAGAAATTATTTTTATTTTCCTTTTTCTGGTTGTTTTACTTAGGCATTATTTAACAGTATTGTTTGCTCATTTTTCAGTGTAATCACATAATAAGTTTAATAAATAGATTTGAAAAGTTTTAAAAAACGCAATTATTAACTTAAGCTCACTCCAAGTCATTAATACAATGGTTAAACTTGAGAAGATTTTCCTCTAAGAACTAAAAATCTCCCCGAAGAAGGCCAACATGAACTAATTTGGTAAAAACACGAAGATATATATATTTTTTAATTTATAAGGAGATTTTTCCATAAAATATTCATCTAAACTCGAGTTGTTCTTCAAGATATTTTTCTTCTTAAATCAGACAGTCAGCTTCAGAAATACCTCTTATCAAAATATTTCCCACAGGTATTGATGTGTTTCTAAGTCTTTCAAGTCTTTCCAACAGTCTCATCTGTTCTTTTCATTTTCTCTGACAAGGCCAGACATTCATGCTACCTGGTGACCTGCCCTGTGAAGTGGCAGAGCCAGGGACTAATCTAAGGCTGATCTACTCATTTGTCTTCCTCACATGACTAAACTACTGTCTGCGGTTGTGTTGACCCCTTTCCTTCTGGGGTGTTCCCAGGAATTTTGCACACTGGTTCTCATGAAAAAGTCATGGAAGTTCCCTCAGTCTCAGAGAGAAAAGAATGAGGGAGCCAAAGGAAGAGGCAGGGAGAGGCACCAAGCAGAGAGCACAGAGGTGAATCTGAGACTTGTGCCGCTGAAGCACGAGAGAGAGGGGAAGCTTGCTCTCTACACAGAGCCCTAAACCAGCCAGGAAGGAGTAATAGCTATTGAGTAGGAAGCACCATAACCTTCCACCTAGAAAGCAAATAGTAAAGAGCATCAGCAGTGCAGCTGACATGACCTGTCACATCTTCATGTGGGTCATTCTCTACAAAGAGTTTAAAAGCATTGTATTAGTCCATTTTCATGCTGCTAATAAAGGCCTACTCCAGACTGGGCAATTTACAAAAGAAAGAGGTTTAATGGACTTACAATTCCATATGGCTGGGGAGGCCTCAAAATCATGGTAGAAGGCAAGGAGGAGCAAATCACATCTTACATGGATGGTGGTAGGCAAAAAGAGACAGCTTGTGCAGGGAAACACACCCTTATAAAACCATCAGATCCCATGAGACTTATTCACTATCATGAAAACAGCACAGGAAAGACCTGCACCTATTCTTCAATTACCTCCCAATGGGTCACTCCCACAACATGTGGGAATTATGTGAGTACAATTCAAGATGAGATTTGGGTGAAGACACAGAGCCAAACCATATCATTCTACTCCTGGCCCCTGTCAAATCTCATGTCCTCACACTTCAAAATCAATCATGCCTTTCCAACAGCCTCCCAAAGTCTTAACTCATTTCAGCATTAACTCAAAAGTCCACAGTCCAAAGTCTCATTTGAGACAAGGCAAGCCCTTTCCACCTATAAGCCTGTAAAATCAAAAGCAAGTTAGTTACTTCCTAGATACAATGGGGGTAGGCACAAGCATTGAATAAATACAGCCATTCGAAATGGCCAAACAAAGTGGAAATTGGCCAAAACAAAGTGGCTACAGGCTCCATGCAATTCCAAAATCCAGCAGGGCATGTAATCTTAAAGCTCCAAAATCATCTCTTTTGACTCCATATCTTACATCCATGTCACACTGATGCAAGAGGTGGGTTCCCATGGTCTTGGGCAGCTCTGCCTCTGTAGCTTTGCAGGGGATAGCCCCCCTCCTGGCTGCTTTCATGGCCTGCCGTAGAGTGTCTATGACTTTTCCAGGAACATGGTGCAAGATGTCTGTGTATCTAACATTCCAGGGTCTGGAGGACAGTGGCCCTCTTCTCACAGTTTCACCAAGCAGTGCCCCAGTAGAGACTCTGCTTGGGGGCTCCAACCCCACATTTCCCTTCTGTACTGCCCTAGCAGAGGTTCTCCGTGAGGGCCCCACTCTTGCAGCAAACTTTTGCCTGGGCATCCAGGCATTTCCATACATCCTCTGAAATCTAGGCAGAGGTTCCCAAACCTTTATTCCTGACTTCTGTATACCTGCAGGCTCAACACCATGTGGAAGCTGTCAAGGCTTGGGGCTTGTATCCTTCTGAAGCAAAAGCCCAAGCTATACCTTGGCTCCTTTTAGCCATGGCTGAAATGGCTGGGATGCAGGGCTTTAAGTCCCTGGCTGCACAGAGCAAGGGGGCCCTGGGCCTGGCCCATAAAACCATTTTTTCCTCCTAGGCCTCCAGGCCTGTGATGGGAGGGGCTGCCATGAAGGCCTCTGACATGGCCTGGAGACATTTTCCCCATTGTCTTGAGGATTAACATTCAGCTCCTCATTACTTATGCAAATTTCTGCAGTGAGCTTGAATTTCTCCACAGAAAATGGGATGTTCTTTTCTGTCACATTGTCAGGCTGCAAATTTTCTAAACTTTTATGCTCTGATTCCCTTATAACACTGAATGTCTTTAACAGCATTCTTGAATGCTTTGCTGCTTAGAAATTTCTTCCACCAGATACCCTAAATCATCTCTCTTAAGTTCAAAGTTCCACAAATCTCCAGGAAAGGGGCAAAATGCCTCCAGTCTCTTTGCTGAAACATAGCAAGAAGCGCACCTTCACTCCAGTTCCTAACAAGTTCCTCATCTCCATCTGAGACCACTGCAGCCTGGATTTCATTGTTCATATCATTATCAGTATTTTAGTTGAAGCCAGCCAACAAGTCTCTAGGGAGTTCCAAACTTTCCCACATTTTTCTATCTTCTGCTGAGCCCTCCAAACTGTTTCAACCTCTGCCTGTTACCCGGTTCCAAAGTCACTTCCACATTTTCGGGTATCTTTTCAGCAGTGCCCCACTCTACTGGTACCAATTTACTGTATTACTCTGTTTTCATGCTGCTAATAAAGACATATCCCAGACTGGGCAATTTACAAGAGAAAGAGGCTTAATGGACTTAATCCTCATGTCTAGGGAGGCCTCACAATCATGGTGGAAGGCAAGGAGGAGCAAGTCACATCTTGTGTGGATGGTGGCAGGCAAAAGAGAGAGCTTGTGCATGGAAACTCCCCCTTATAAAACCATCAGATCTTGTGAGGCTTATTCACTATCACAAAACAGCACAGGAAAGACCTGCCCCCATAATTCAATTACCTCCCACCAGGTCCCTCCAACAATACATGGAAATTATGAGAGTATAATTCAAGATGAGATTTTGATGAGGGCAAGAGCCAAACCATATCAAGCATGTTCTCCATGTCTCCATTCCATATGACAGTAGTGTCTCCCCTGGCTCTGCATTTGGTCACTCTCTAGGTCTTCGTTTTGTAATGTCTGAGGTTATTCACTATTTCTTGAGACTGTTTAGTTACTCTGCTAGCTTTGAACATGCTTGTGACTCTACTAACAGTTAGCAGTTACTTTGCTAACTTTGCACATAGTTGTGCAGAGCGTTATGCTAGGTTTTGGGATGCAGACATAACATGTTCTTTAACCCAATGCACTTGCAGAGTAAGAATAGGGAGAGAAAATGCTGATACATGATGGAACTGCACTGAAAATGGTTGCAGAACTTAGCAGAGTAAACGAGTAGGTCTCAGGGAAATAGTGAATTACCTCAAACACTACAAACTGAGGAACTAGAGAGTGGCCAAATGCAGACCCAGGGGAGACCTGCCATCATGTGGAATGCAAAATGGTTTTGCACAGCTTTAATAAAAAGATTTAAGATGCAAGAAGTGGACAGATTAATTGCCCCCAAAAAGTAAGTTTATCTAGACATTTTTAGTATTTTCCTCTATCAGATTCTTAACATATATTGGCTAAATTCCTATACAATCTTCCCTTGCTATCAGTGAAGGATTGGTTGCATGACCCCAGTGGATGCTAAAATCAGCAGATGCTCAAGTCCCTGATATAAAATAATATGGCATTTCTACATAATCTATGCATATCCTCTACTATATTTTAATTAATCTCTAGATTACATTATAATAAATACAGTGTAAGTTCTATGTAAATAGTTGTTACACTGTACTGTTTAAGGAATAATGACATAACAAAAATCTAAACATGTTCAGTATTGATGCAACCGTCCTTTTCTTCAGAACATTTTTCATCTGTGATTGGCTGAATCTTTAGACGCAAAACCCATGAGAACAGGGGAGCCTAAAATTGCTTGTTTATGTGAAAGATGGAAACGTGAGTGCAAGAAACAATTCCTGCTCTGAGGTGCTCACATGCTTTACAGAAAGACCATGAATACAACTGATTGAATACTTTTGCCAGGTCCTCTTCCAGGGATTTTACATGACTTAACACAATATTTTACTGAGGTCATTACTACCATCCCATTCACTCATATTAGTAAACCAAGGCATAAAATGATGAAGTAACATGTTCAAGATTATTCATTTATTAAGGGGAAGAGCCAGAATTTGAATTCAAGTGAACTGGCTTCAAAATTCACCCTCTTTAACCACCCATATTTATGTGTCTATTAGATAAGTTACTGTTTAGTTTAATTTATGTTCCCATATGAGAGCTACATCTTTGTAAGTACTCGTACAAGTACACATGTATCTGTATGCAAAAATGAGACATTTGATGGTTTGCTATAGTATGAAATACAAGCTTAGCAAGAAAACCCTATCAATGGGGGCCAACCATGCATCTGCTTTCATCTCCTGTGGTGGCTAGCTCTCCTTCCTTTCAGTCATACGAGACGATTTGGAAATTCCCACTTCATTCTACCTTTGCTTATATATTTTTCTGCCTTGTCTGCCTCTGTTCCAAGTCAGTGGAGTTCTATTTATTCTTCAATATACAGTGCAAATTTCACTTGCCTTGAGTTACCTTGAGCCTTTTCTTAGAAACTCTTCTCCCAAACTGTTGTGAATATTTCATTACTGTACTATTTGTCAAATATTAAGGTTTATATTTTCATTAGATTTTCACTACTGGCTATAAACTTTCTGAGGAATTTTACTTCCTCCTCTGTCCCCACTAGATAGGATAGGCCATTATAAAGAGTAAGCTCTCATTACAAGTTGGTTGAGGAATAAGGGCTCATTGATTTTTTTTTTTAACTTAGGCACTTGGCAAAAGTTCTCTAGCTAGGAAAAAAAGATGGCAAAATTCTCTGGCCAAGAAACAAACCTCCAACTATGCTTTGGTCTTGTTGCTAAATTTTTTAAGTATTGAAATGCTGTCTTGTCTTTCCTTTTAGTTTTTTAATTCTTGTTTTGGTGTTGGTAGTTTTGTCTAAATTTAATTCAATTCAACAAGTATTTACTAAGCCCTATGTGTTTTTTAGGATTTTGGACAGGTTCTGGGAGTAAAAGAAAGAAAAAAATGTAGATACTAATGCCAAGAAGCCATAATCTGGGAGGGGAAGCACAGTGTAATAATTACAGCAGAATGTGGCAGATACAGGAGAAATCAAGTGAAAAGAGTGACTGTCTGAGGGGATTAGGAAAGGCTTTTCAGAAGAGTTGACACCTAAACAGTGTTCAATAATGAGTTGTTAACCAGGCTCCCAAGGGGAGCAAGGCTGTTTACAAATCCTCAAGGCCTCTGTTTAGACTACTCCCCATACCCTAACTCTAACTAACCAATGCACAGATTTTATAAAATGCACTCAGGGAATCCATATCTACATATCTACATACAATTATTTGTTTTGCTTTAAGTTTTAAAGGAATTGTATAATTTTTCTTTTGAGATATTAGTTATGGTCAGCTGTGCTTTCTCAGAAATCATTATGGAAAATTGGCTAAGCAAGTATGAAACTAAGGACATACAGCATATGAATTGGTTATGAATATAATGAAATATTTAGAAATTAAGACTTATAAACATATTAGATAATGAAATTGACATAATGTATATTGTATTAGTCTGTTCTCATGCTGGTAATAAAGACATAACTGAGACTGGGTAATTATAAAGGAAAGAGGTTTGACTGACTCACAGTTCCACATGACTGGGGAGACCTCACAATCATGGAAGGCAAGGAGGAGCAAGTCACATCTTACATGGCGGCAGGCAAGAGAGCATATGCAGGGGATCTCCCCTTTATAAACCCATCGGATCTCGTGAGACTTATTCACTGTCATGAGAACAGCATGGGAAAGACCCACCCCCACGAACAAATTACGTCCCACCGGTTCCCTCCTACAACACGTGGGGATTAGATTATTATAATTCAAGGTGAGATTTGGGTGGAGGCAAAGAGCCCAGCCATGTTATATATGTTGTAGACATAGTGTGTGTCAATTATAATCTTGCAATTTTTCATGTAAAATTTTGGATGGAGAACATGGTTCAGGACTCGATTACTTACACAAGCCCTTAAGCTGCCCCTAGGCTTTGAGAGTTCCCATCCAGACTGTTGAATGGATGCTCTGGCTACACGGAGCATGGAGGAATGCACATGCAACACAAGGAAAATGTACAGTGGCAAAGACGTCTGAAACTGCCTGATTTATTAGGAAACCCTGGGGATGTTGATACTACTGGAGAATAAATACAAAAGGTGTGGGCAGAAAATCACAGATCGTCTCTGTCATGACTTGGTGTAGGGTTAGTACTAGAGATTTACTTCTCTTGCTGTAAATCTGTGAGTGGTTCTTTCTGTAGGGTCTTTACTTCTTTATTTGTCTGAAGTTCCTCTCTTGTGCCTGTTCTTCATACATACTTCATGACCCATGCAAATTTGCAAACTTTACTTTGTGCTTGGATTCTTAATATCTGCTCCAAGCCTAGAAGTGAACCTCTTTGTCATGGTGCTCCTGGTCCATTCCCTTGCTTGCCATTACCCAGCCTGGATATGACTGCCCACTGACATCCTCTCCTAAAGCTATGCCATTCCATGTTTGCCCAAATCAGAAAAAAATTATGCTTAATGTCTTTACTTTTGGAAACCCCCCTTATTTTTTGAGACACTGTCTTGCTCTGTTGTTCAGGTTGGAGTGCAGTGGCAAAATCATGGCTCACTGAAGCTTTGACCTCCAGGGCTCAAGCATCCTCCTACCTCAGCCTCCCAAGTAGCTGGGACTACAGGTACGTGCCGCCAAGCCCAGCTTTTTTTTTTTTTTTTTAGTCAATATGTTTCCCAGGCTGAGTTTGAACTTCTTCACTCAAGCAGTCCACCTGCCTTGGGCTACCAAAGTGCTGAGATTACAGGCATGAACCACTGGACCCAGCAAAAACCCTATTATTTAAGCAGTAAAACTATATTCTGACTTAGAAACACCAAAGAAACTCCCTCCATAAAAAAAAAAAAAATTATTCTCTAACTTTGACAATTTTCACTGACTTAAATAATCTTTTGGTTAGAAATTCTGCCAATGATATCAACATAAGACTACATTTTTTGTTTCTTAACTTTTTAGAACATATTTTGAACAAAATATTTTTTCTTTGAAGTGAGCTACATTAAAGTGTTATCATTTTGAAGAATATGGTTCTCTTTCACCATTCAAGTAGAGTAGTTGACAATATAGAACATACTAAGTGTTTTGAGTACATTTAAGTTATGTGTAGTAAAATAACATCCATATATTTTGTTTACATAATGAAGTTGTCCATGGCATTGCAATAAATGTTCATGCTCACCCGCCTTATTCATATGCTGAAATCCTAACCCCCAGTGTGATGGTACTAGAAGGTGGGGCGTTCAGGAGATGGTTAGGTCATAAGGGTGGAACCCTAACAGATGGTATTAGGGCCCTTATAAAAGAGATCCCAGAGAACTTTCTTGACCCCTTTCTGCCATGTAAGGATACAAGGAGATGTCGGCCGCCTATGAACCAGGAAGTAGGCCCTCACCAGACACTGAATCCGCAGGTGCTTTGGTCTTAGACTTCCAGGTCTCTAGAATTGTGAGAAATATATGTGCATTGTTTAAGCCACCCAGACTGTGGCATTTTTTTTATAGCAGTCCAAACTAAGACTGGTATCAAATGTTTAAAATGGCAAGAATAATTTAAAAATATTTCACTCATGTATGAATGTGTTTTCTAATTGCATGACAGTATGCTGCATTTTAAAAACAACCAGAACTTAACAATAAAAGAGAAGACAACAGTACTGTCGCACAAAAACAATTATTTTATCAATCTATTTATTATTAGAACAAAATACTATTTCAATCTTTTTTTGAAATCAGCTTGAAAACTGAGAGAAGATTTAGCAACATAGGACATGATGGCTAAATCTGTATATGATGATCACATGTAGTCAATATTTTGCTAAACCAAATGTTTAATTTTGGCAGGATTTTTGAGGTTTTTATTTTCAACACTTGTTTTTTTTTAAATAATGTACAGTTTATCATTAAACTATTGAGGTCTCTCTTTATAATTAGATTCCTAAGTAAACCATCACAAATGTTACTGAAAAAAATATTTTAGACAGGAGACTGATCAATGCATACTGTAGTATTTTCCAGCATACTACTTGAATAAGCTCAGATTAACTGGCTGTGAGTGGATTATTTACCATCTTCAAGAGCACTTTTGATTCACTCATTCTCCCATTATTCTCTTTTTATAATCACATGCATCTTCTCCCTCTCTGGCCCCTCTGGCCTGTTCTCAGTGAGCACTGTCTTCAAAATGATCTGAGGAGTTGGTAATGAAACCGTGGGGATTTGAGGAATAAGGAGCTCTTGCTGAATTCTGTCCAGTCATGGGCCTTGTAAATGTCAAAGGGACATGAGTCTAAGTCACTTCCTCTAACAATGATACGAAGCAATTTGAATTCATAAAAACAGGCGCTTTGTGGTTTTAGTAGCACATTTCAGGAACCATATTTGTTCTTGGGCATAAATGTAAAATCCAAGAGATTAGTTTTACATGTGTAATGTTTTGCCAATATACTTGTACTTCTAATGCTTAATTAGGATTCAATATATTGACAACCTTAAATTTCCACAGCTTAAAGTGGCTTGCAGAATTTATTTAAATAAGTATGGTTTTAAGTTTCTTTTACATTTTTTAAAACAGCACTCTATTAAAGTGTTCATACTACTAATCAGTGGTTTCTTGGTTCTCGAAAAAATGTATGTGTGTTTGTGTGTGTGTGTGTGTGTGTATTTTGTGTTTAATTTACAGGGAGATTGGTTAGAAAATTAGTTAGAAGTGCAACTATGTGGTTTATTAATCAATAGCAATTTAGAAGAAGCAAGATTAATATAAGTAGTGTAATTAATATAATTTAGGTCTTGCACACATACGGAAGTCAATCACATATGTTTGGGTGTGTTTTCCTGTTGAATGAAAGGTGGACTTGACAAATGAACATCACAACCCACACATCAGGGAACTGTCAGGCCCCTTCCTTGGCACATAATATCTTTGGTTGTTTTCTGCCTTTATTTTTCCTAAATAAAAGAGATGTGTATTTTTATATATCATCTGTTTTAAAAAATTAGCATCTTGGGATTTCAGATCATTCAGATTAAAGTACAGATAAACTTTAGATCTTTACTATCTGAGGATGAAAGGGAGGTCAGTGAGTTAGTGGTTGCTGAATAATTGTCAAAATAAAATAATAACACGACAAAATGACAATATTACTGGATTTAAGCACAAAGGCCACTTTATATTTATCCCTTTAAGCCCTATTGACTTTCAATTTTATGAAATTATACTAATTATATTTGGTTATCTATTTGCAAAACTCATTATTCTCAAAAACAAAAATCTGCCTACCCTTCTCCCATCAGACCTTCTGTTGATCCTGAAGCTGAGACTTCAGACTGGGCACAGTCTGACCCAAATCCACTTCCCATTGTTTTTGTTCCCGCTTCTTAAGTTCTGATCATCTATGAATTTGTCTTCTCCAGTACGTCTCTCTTCTTTTCTACCCTTCTGATGCGGCATAGACAAATTTCTCCATATGGGAAGCTGTGACTCTACTTCCCACATGTGTACTCTTCACGTCATCAAGGTCCAGCTCCCATGCTCCCTCCAGCACGGAATATCCGCTGTCACTTGCAAACAGAATATCTTCCTCCCACCCTTTCCTGCCTGTCTTTCAGGGACACTCAAATGCCTTAGAGTGTGTGTTACTTCCCAATATGCTTATTCATGCACATGCATGTTATTGTCCACTAGACCAGGTGCTTCTCTGGGGCAGTATTGATACATCTTTCCTTGCATGCACCTTGCCTGTAGTGGCTAGTCAGACACCACAGAATCTGTTTTTTCACTTTTGTTTACTATCTGATGCTCTGTGCTTAAAGCAGGACCTGGCCCAAAGTATGCACTCAACAACGATTTCTTGAATGAATGAAAAAGTTAGTGGATGCTGTGAATAGTTTGAATTTCCATGTCTGGTTTAGGTCTTTCTATTCCTGCCCACAGAAGAGTGGCCCATGTATAATGAAGGTGTCCAGTGTTGGAGGGTGGGGGAGTAGAAGCTGGCTTTCTCTAGGCTCTGCCACGACAGCTGGGACAAACCTGGGGGCCCACCATCAAGTGTTTCAGGTTGTATGTGGTCCCATTATCTGTAACTTCTGAATTTATGAGTTAGCACCTGTGTAGTAGGCCTTTATGCAGAATTTCCAAGTTGAAATTGAATGCACTGGTCACAAATATCTGTGCCTGGAATAGTCCTTGACACAGTCAAAAGTGGATATTTGTTTTCAGGGATTCCCCATATCTGGTAACACCAGCTTTGTTTTTAGTTTTGTTTTTCTCACTCCACTGTCCCCATCCCATGCCTTTTGCTTTTATCCTTCACTTTGAGTCCATTCTCCTGTGATCAGACCCATATCTCAGAAGGTTTAGTTCTCTCCTCTAGGTCTCTAAAACACAACTGTACTCTTACCTAATTTTCAAGGATCTGTCTGCATTTCAATCACTTATTGGTTGTCCATGTTCGAAAATTCACTGAAGTATTTCATGTACTAGACTCCAAGACAGCTCTCTACATTGACTCTAGCACTGTCCATTTTGACATAGCCTAGTGGATAAATCATAGACAAAGGGGCTTATCTACTAATAGAAATTGTAAATACTAGGGAAGTCCAGGAGAAAATAACAAGAAAGGCGAGGCAGGCCTATGAATACTGCTTAAATCATCCCACTGTGATGCACAGCTTCTCCTGAGCATTCCCCCAAATGGCTCTTGGATGGCCAATCAGTGCCTGCCAAAATTATCCTGCATTATGTATGAGATGACGGAAGTTGCATGGATGCTGATGTCAGTGGAGAACCACAGCATGGGATAAAGGGGGAAGAAAGGGCAGCTTGCTGTTTGTAGGTAAGTACAGGCACAACTCATTTTACTGTGCTTTGCACATAGTGTGTGTTTTTTTTTTAAATGAAAGTTTTGTCACAACCCTGCGTCAGATAAGTCTATCAGCTTCACACTTCTAACAGCATGTGTTCACACTGTGTCTGTGTGTCACATTTTGGTAATTCCAGAAATATTCCAAACATTTTCATTATTATTATGTCATTATAATGATCTGTGATCAGAATCAGTGACCTTTGACGTTACTATTGCAATTGTTTTTGGGCACCACAAAATCTGCCTGTATAAAATGGTTAACTTAATCAGTCAATGCTGTGTCAGTTCTGACTGCTTCGCCAACTTGTCATTCCCCCATTTCTCTTCCTCTTCTTGGGCCTCCCTATTCCCTGAGACACTGCAATATTTAAATTAGGCCAATTAATAACCCTATCACTGTTCAAGTGAGACAAAGAGTTACATGTCTCTCACTTTAAATCAAAAGCTGAAAATGATCAAGCTTAGTTAGGAGAGCACGTTGAAAGCCAAGGCAGACCAAGTGCTAGGCCTCTTGCACCAGGTTAGCCAACTTGGGAATGTACACACAAAGTTGTTGAAGGAAAGTCAATGTGCTACTCCAGTGAACACATGAATAATAAGAAAGGAAACAGCCTTGCTGCTGATATGGAAAGTGTTTGAGTGATCTGGACAGAAGACCAAAGCAGCCACGCCATTCTCTAAGCCAAAGCCTAATCCAGAGCAAGGCCCTGATTTTGCTTAACTCTGTGAAGTCTTAGAGAGGTGAGGAAGCGGCAGAAGAAATGTTTGAAGCTTGCAGAGGCTGGTTCATGAGGTTTAAGGGAAAAAGCCATTTTCATAACATAAAAATAGAAGATGAAGTAGCAAGTGCTGATGAAGAAGCTGTAGCAAATTATCCAAAGGATCGAGCTAAGATCCTTGATGAAGGGCACTATCTTAAACAACAGATTTTCAGTGTAGACAAAACAGCCTTCTATTGGAAGAAGATGCCATCTAGGACTTTCATAGCTAAGAGGAGGAGTCAATACCTAGCTTCAAAGGACAGGCTGCCTTTCTTGTTAGTGGTTAATGCTTCTAGTGACTTTAAGTTGAAGCCAATACTCATTTACCATTCTGAAAATTCTAAGGCCCTTAAGAATTATGCTAGATCTAGTCCGCCTGTGCTCTGTAAATGGAAACGTAAAGCCTGGATGACAACACATCTATTTACAGCATGGTTTATTGAATATTTTAAGCCCACTGTTGATACCTAATGCTCAAACATTTCTTTCAAATATTACTGGTTATTGACAATGCACCTGGTTACCCAAGAGCTCTGATGAAGATGTACAAGGAGATTAATACTGTTTTCATACTTGCTAACAAAACACCCATTCTGCAGTCTATGTATCATAATTAATTTTTGCTTTCAAGTCTTATTCCTTAAGAGATACATTTCATAAGACCATCACTGCCACTGATAGTGATTTATCTGATGGATGTAGGCAAAGTAAATTGAAACCCTTCTGGAAGGGATTCACTAGACTCCATGCCACTAAGAACATTTGTGATTCATGGGAAGATGTCAACACATCAACACTAACAGGAGTTTGGAAGAACATGATTTCATCCCTCATGGATGACTTTGAGGGGTTCAAGACTTCCGTAGAGAAAGTAGCTGAAGATATGATGGAAATAGCAAGAGAAATAGAATTGGAAGTGAAGCCTGAAAATGGGAATGAATTGCTGTGATCTTAGAACAAAACTTGGGATGAGAAGTTGCTTCTTATGCATGAGCAAAGAAAGTGGCTTATTTGGAAGAAAACTACTCCTGGTGAAGATGCTGTGAATATTGTTGAAATAACAGCAAATGATTGAGAATATTACCAAACTTAATTGATAAAGCAGTAGCAGCATTTGAGAGGATTGTCTCCAATTTTGAGAGACATTCTACTGTTGGTTATGTGTCTATCAAACAGCATTGTATGCTACAGAGAAATCTTTTGAAAAAAATAAGTCAGTCAATGCAGCAAACTTCACTGTTGTCTTACTTTTAGATATTGCCACAGCTACTTCAACTGTCAGCAACCACCACTATGATCATCAGTCAGCTGCCACCACTACCACTAAAGCAAGACTCTGCACCAGCAAAATGATTACAACTTGCTGAAGGCTGAGATGATCGTCAGTATTTTTTAACAATGAAGTATTTTTAGAAGTAAAACATGCACCTTCCATTATACATAATGCTACTGCACACTTAGACAAAGTATTGTGTAAACGTAAGTTTGTATGCTCTGAGAAACAAACAAACAAAAATGTGTCACTGCCTTTATTGTACTATTTATTTTTGTGTGGAGATCTAAAACAGAACCTGCAGCATCTCTGAGGCCTGACTATAAATGGGCAATCTAGAGACGAGTGTGTTTTAAGATCCTTTCTTTTCCTTCCTAGTTGTATTTAATGGTGCATCTATATGTGAGAATATTTCTGTAATATTCATGTTATTTTGAAACAAATTCCTGGTGTTTTACCTGAGTCTTTTGGAGAGTAAAATATGCCCATAAATTTAAGATGACTCAAGATTCCTACCTGGGGCAAATTGCAACTTCTCTTTAAGGTTTAATCTTCATATCTGGAAAAAAAGGTAGTTCAAATTGAATAGTTTAATATTACAATTCTTTACAATTCTAAATACTCTTCAGGGTAAATTTTCATGATCTGGTTTTATAGTCCTTGGTTTTTAGGCACTGCATTAAGCATTGGCGTAGGTGAGGATTGAATAAATGTAAAAAACATACTGTAAGGATTATTAAAATTACTTATGTGAACATGTTTATCTAGTGAGCTATAAAGTGAGAAACTGAGGGATTTGCATTGATACATTATATAGTTATTTGCCTCTCTTTCCCTTAATTTCTGAGATATTTACAGTTTAATCTGTGACCTGTGACCCAAATCTTTGGTCCTGGTGTGGAAACTAGTAGTATTCACTTGGTGTATCAAACTTATCCTAACTTTTTTTTGCAGCTCAACTGCTTCTTTATTTTATTTGATTTATTTTAGCAAGCTCTCCACTCTGTAAAATTCATTTGTAAAAACGAATGAATCACGCCACTGTAAATACATCATTGATGACTAAATATGGCCAATCTTATATAGACAATGCAGTTATGTATTTAAAAGTGAAAATGGACGATGCTTCCTAATTCAGTAAGTGCTTTCCACATAGAGTGTTGTTTAAAAAAAAAAATCTGCACACTCAAAACTATATTATCTTCTGCTTGTTTAACCAAAAGTATATATCAACCCTGAGTCTGCCAGCAGTATCTTTAACATGGGTCAACTGGTCCCTGGTTGAATCTTTCCATTTTGTAGGGCAGGAATCAGAAGCTTCCGATGGGAAGACAGCCGTTCGCCAACTGGCAGAGGCCGACATCGCTGGCGTCCTGATTCATTTCATGTTGGAGCACAGACTCTTGCTCCCTGCGAAGTCAGGGAGTGCTTCTGTTACATGCATGTGTGTGACACTGCTCTGTTCCCTCCATCTATCTCCACATGTGTGCAAGTTTGCTGGACTTCATGTTGAAAGTCATGTCGAGGTGGAGTTGCCAACCCTGCTTTTTTTTTTTCTTTTTTTCTGCAGATGCATTCCCCAATTCAATCCCGGCTGCCACAAAGACAGAGAGGAAGTGCAGGGATTTCCCTCTTTTGCATCCCCAGAGCAAACAAAAACAAACAAACAAACAAACAAACAAAAAAAAACAGCAAACTGTCCAAGGTCTATCAGTGGATGCAGGCCAATCCCAGTTTTTAAAGGGTACCTTTAAACACAGAGAGTCTAAGTGACAAAAGAAAAGATTGCCCGTATGGGGGCCTCTAGACTTTCTAAAGAAATGGAAGTAGGAGAGGCTCTTGGATTACCACTAATATTAACATTAATGCATTAAGGAGCCAGAAAATTGCCCTTGAGGGGGATGTAGGCAAATTCTTAGAAAGTACTTTTACACTAGTGATAATTGTCAGAA
Source organism: Homo sapiens (assembly GCF_000001405.40). Taxonomy (NCBI): domain Eukaryota; kingdom Metazoa; phylum Chordata; class Mammalia; order Primates; family Hominidae; genus Homo; species Homo sapiens. The sequence goes on from NC_000002.12 coordinate 4,827,385, forward strand.
CATTACTTACAATAAAAGCCAGAGTTTCTTCTCTTTCACAAGATAATTCTGAAATGCCACAATGAAATACTTATAGAAAAGCATTACAGAGTAGAAAAAAAAATCCATATTATTGAAGTCTTTATAACCTTACTTATTTCAAAAGAGAAAACAAAGAGAGGGAATCTGTTTTTTTTTTACACTATGCAAATCAGTGTCGTAAGGGTTAGATACAAATAGAATTTTCAATGCAAACCCAGAGCCCCCGGATACAGCATTCTTTATCTCACGTTGACATTCGATTAAATTAGACTGATGCATTTACAGAGTAAATGATCTCCTTGAAGGATGTTCAGCATGCTAACAGTTTGCACTTGAAGTACTAATTGTAACAAACTAACTCATAGTGGCACAGCTATTTGCAAATCTGACCCACAATGGTTTCAAATTCTGACTTTAGAGGGATGATTACTGAAGACTGGTTCTGAGACAATGTACCTGAAGCTCTCTAATTGACATTTCTGGGCATCAGAAAGAAAAATCTGAAGAGATATGCACAAGTTAGTGTGCTTAAACAGTGTGATAAATTGTGTGATTTAGTTCTGCACGTGGAGGAGAATATTCACCTGTGAGTAAGCAGGTAGGCACTGTTCACATTGCAACGGTGTGTGTTGGGCAAGAGGAATAATAAAAACCACAAGATAAGCCCTGCTTTAAAGACACTGATTCACCTGCTGGAGCTGGAAGTTTCAGGTAGAATTAAGTTCCTTCGTCTAGAACAGAATTCAAAACACAGAAAGAAGAGAATAAGAGGGGCTCTTATTAAGAACAAGAGCAACATGTACAGGGCTTAATTAAAGCTACTCAAGGAAGCAGAGAACTAATACAGGCCCTGTCTGATTTTTCAACATCTTTAACCTACCAAATGTCTCTAACATATTATTAAATTACATAATCAGCACACATTCTTTTTGTAAGATCAAGAGCTCATTGCCTTACAAAAGGAACTTGTACTGATTATGCTATATATGCAGGCGTGCATGTATATGTGTGTCTTTAAGTGAAGGAAGAGCACAACTTTGTCCTTGAAATTGTTCAAACTGTAAGCCAGAGCCCATTCTCTAATTCAACTTTGTATTCTATTATTTCTATTTATATACCGATTCAAGCATTCGGTATTTTCAAATTCCTGGTTTTAGCAGTGTTTTGCTTGTCACTGAGGATTGACATTTAAATACACGACAGCCCGTTTCTCATGGATCTGTGAGTAGGACAAGGAGAGATCTATAGAGATGGTCAAAACAAGTTGTCACATGAACACAACAGAGATGCTTTGAGTCTTTTGTGAATCTAGAAGAGGAATGTTATCATGAACGACTTGGAAGCGATAATATTTGTTTGGATTTTTGAAAGAAGCAGCAGAATGAAATGAAAATAGCCAGGATTTTACAGTCAAAAACTTGTTTCAATCCACGTATGAGTCATGACATAGAGGAGGAACACCTGTCTGGGCCTCCTTTTCCTATCTGTCAAAAGCAGACAATGGTACACATATTCCAGAGTGGGGATGTGCATTAAGTGGATTGAAGGTTTGACAGCACATTGAGCACATGGTGAGTGTTCAAGCATGTGTAGCAGAGTTAATAGTAACAGATAGGAACCTGTTAACCTCTACTTACGAACGCGATAGTGGGAGCCATTCTCTCTCCTCTTCCCACAGTTTGTCTGTTACCTGTTTAAAATGTACTTTCCTTCCCACATGAAAACTAGTGTTATTAACTCTGATACACATGCTTGAGCACTCACCCATGTGCTCAATGTGCTGTCAAACTGATGCAGTTCCATCTGACCACGGATTCAAGGTTGTTACTGATTTTACCAGGAAGGATCTGTAAGAAGTTTCATAAGGCTTAATATTTACTCTTGCTCTTTTCGTGTCTAAACCACTTGCTTATGAAGGACTTGTAATAACTAAATTCAGTTTTATTTTGGTCTCCTAGGTCAGCTCTTGTTTGTGGCAATAAATATATCACTACGCTATTAATGTTGCTATTAATAAAGTAATATTAATTCTGGAAAAATATATTTCCAAGTCACAAAAGTCAAATAATTCATCCCCAGAGCTCCTGGCAGAGACAGAACTCAAGCCCAGCTTGCCTCATGCTAAATCCCCCTCCTTTCACCTTTGTCAAGGCTGCCTCCATGTAGGTTTTATATAGCATATGTTCTAAACAAGAATCTGTATTTCCTTTTTGTGACATTGTATAAAATTATGTCTTATTCTGGGTCTTAAATTTTACTTCTTGATATGACATAACTTATAAAATATATCACATGACTCGAAAACTCAGGAGATTGGATTTGAATTCAGGGTTTGAGTGAAAGGGAGGAATAGCAGATAAATGGTTAAGGGTAGAAATGCATCCTCGCATTCTAAGTCATGGTGATGCACTCTTCCATTCTAAAGTATAGCAACACACCCTTTCATTCTAAAACCTGGAGACATGCTCTTCCATTCTAAATCATGAAAATGCACCTTTCCAATCTAAAGCACGACAGTATGTTGCCCTCGACTTCCAGCTTCCAAACATATCTTTGTACATGATTTAATTTTCTCTAATGTATTAACTTTATTTTTTAAATTTCTATTTTAGGTTCAGGGGTACATGTTCCAGTTTGTTATATAGGTAAGTTATGGGTCATGAGTTTGCCTGTTGTTCCCCTCTTAGTGTTCATGTGTTTTTACTGTTGAGCTCTCACTTATAAATGAGAACATGTGATATTTCATTTTCTGTTCCTGCATTAGTTTGCTGAGGATAATGGCCTCCAGCTTCATCTTTGTTGTGGCAAAGAACATGCTTGTTCTTGTTTATGGCTGCATGGTATTCCACGGTGTATCTGTACCACATTTTTTATCTAGTGTACTGTTGAGGGGCATTTAGCTTGATTCCATGTCTTTGCTATTCTGAATAGTGCTTCAATTCACATGTGTGAGCATGTGTCTTTATGGTAGAACAATTTAGATTATTACTTTGGATATATACACAATAATAGGATTGTTGGGTCGAATGATAATTACATTTTAAGTTCTTTGAGGAATCACCACACTGCTTTCCACAATGGCTGAATTAATTTACACTTCTACCAGCGTTATATAAGCATTACCTTTTCTCTGTAACGTCACTAGCATTTGCTGTTTTCTTAATAATAGCCATTCTGATTAGTCTAAGTTTGAGAGCGCTAGAAATGAGCTGGTATAAGGATTGGATCAATTATCAATTATCAATAGACTAAGTCTATAAAGTTTGACTGGAATTTCAGAGTTGCTGACATTCAGAGTGTAGCTAATAGGTTACACAGAAAAGCAACATGCACATACTAGATCTTTTTTTTAACACAACAGTTTTTAGTAGATTGATAAAACTATCTTTATTATAAGAATTTAATTTACTTAACTGATAATGTCTTGTGTTTTCAATGTTAAGAGGTATGGCAGGCAATCTTATTCTGATATTAATGAATGCAATCATTAAAAAGAAAGTGCTTTAACCACATGAGCCCATTTCACATATGAAAACATAGAACCTGCAACAATAATGTATTTCCACTAATACAAAATTAAGTATTTTACTCAGGCATGCATGAAAAAAAATTGTTATTACTAAGAGATTCATGAAGCAACATTGATTAAGGATTTTGGTGACTTTTATCAATGGCGGGAATCATTTTGCTTTGAGAAAAACAAATCCACACTGCTAGAACTTGTTCATCTCTTTGGGTATCAACATAATTAAGATACAACTTATAAGATGTTAAACAGAAGCTGGACTCAAAAAACAATAGGCTGAAGGAAAAAGCAAAAAAAAAATCATCCTTTTGGGTTTGGTTATTAAGTTATTTATTCATCTCATGTATATATCTTACAACCATCCTGCAGAAATAACTGGGGAAACACTGGAATTCATCAGTTTTTCTTTCAAACATTTATAGGAATTCTGACTTGAATTACAACACAAATTAGTGGAGAACAGAGAAATGTTATATTAAATTTTGTTTCTTGATAGGTGTTAAATGTCCTATAAAGTTATTGACATATGGAAAACACAGTATCCTAGGAGTCTCCTTCAAACCAGCTCTATGACAGCAGTTCTCAACCAGAAGCAATTCTCCCCCAGGGGACATTTGGCAATTTCTGGGGATATTTTTGATTGTTTCAACTAGAAGTAAGGGGACAGGGTGATACAAGTATCTGTTGGGTAGAGGCCAGGATGCAGCTAAACATCCTAAAAATACACAGGACAGCCCCACCACCAAGAATGATCCAGTCTGAAGTATCGGTAGCATACACTGGCTGTATATATTATATATTTTTAGGCAAATTACTACATAGAGTTAATACTTCAGATCTCTCCCAATTAAAGTTTAAACCTAGAGTGCAGGCACATGATAACAAGGATGGAAATATACTCCAGCTTAATAGGGCCAGATTAAATAAAAACCTCCATCTGGCTTCCATGCTGAGGCCTGTGGAAGCCTTAAAGAATATGTTTATTATGGCTTGTGCAGGATCTAGCAGTGGAGAGCTCCAACTGAGTATTTATTGACTTTGGCACAAGTACTAGTTTTTGTTGGATGTTTGCATATCATTTTATTAATTCAACTTTTGCCATATTCCAATATTTTTGGTTAACATGGGACTTTAAAATTAGTGGGCCATCTGCTTTAGATGTTGCAGGGTATTTGTTGCCAAAGATTTGGAAAGATGCAAAGCATGAGATGCACATATTGTCTCCGTAAAATAAATAAAATAATTAAAATGTTGCATTTACTATTGTCCAAATGAATTTTCAAAACTCTCATTTTGAATTTTTGCTAACAAGCCTTATGAGCATTTAAATCAATCAACACCAAGTACATTTTGATATGCTGCTTTCTACAAAGAGTTATCTGCATGTGAATTCTCACATTTATTAATTCTTCCACATGAACAATACCTTTCATTTAATGTGGATTGTAATGATGTTGAGTGCGTAAGATATTTTTAATTTGCTGAGACGAATATTAAAATGCAAATAATGTGCACGTGTTCAGTACAATTTACCTCCACATGTCAAGGATATTTTATTGTTTCAAATGGGCTGACTTGATTAAGGAGACCCGGGCACACCCTAGGATGTGAACACATGGCATTTTCGTGGAACTGCAAGAATTCCAATGGGACTTCATTACAGCCTCCCTGGAAAAGACTCTCATGATATATACCCTGTGGGTAGTTTCAACTGGAGACACAATTCTGCTTTCATTTCTCGTTAATAATCCATACTTGTAATTAGAGTTGGGACTGACTCTTAAAGTTTGCTTTTCAGCAAGGTTTAAAGGTATTCGTAGGTGAGTGTTTTTTAAGCACTAATATCTGCTTAAGTTTTAAGGCATCGTGTCTCAGTAGCATAAACAATAAACGATGATTTAATTTGCTGATGGTTCAATTTTTGCTTTTCTGGTGACCCACTATATAATCCCGAAAATCTTTCAATAGCAGCTGTTCCCTTAAGGACAACTTTCCAATGGCTTCAGATGACACATAGAATTAAAATAAAGTCATACTTATTTGTCACATGGCTGAGGGCCTTAAGTTATCTACTTAAATCAGCTTTCCATTCCTTAATTGCCCAAATAGTACATCTGCCTCAGGATCTTTGCACTTGCTGTTTCTTTTTCCGGGAATTTTCATCCCTCAGATACGCATATAATTCACCTCCTCAGTTAATCTTCTGCTGAAGTATTTCTTACACAGAAGAGATTTCTCTGAATAACCTTCTTAAATAGTACTCCTTGCTACTTTTAATCTGTCTTACTCTGCTTTGCTTTTTTAAATTTAACTTAATTTAATTTAATTTTCAGATGGGGTCGCACTCACTCTGTTGCCAAGGCTGGAGTGTAGGGTGTAATCATAGCTCACTGCAGCATTGAACTCCTGGGCTCAAGTGATCCTCCTGCCTCAGACTCTTGAATAGCTGGGACTCCAGGCATGTTTCACCACACCCGGATTTTTTTTTTAATTTTGTAGAGATGGAGTCTTGTCATGTTGCCCAGGCTGGTCTCAAACTCCTGATCTTAAGTCCTTTGTTTTCTTTGTTGCATATTTTACATCTAACATTATGTTATATATGCATTTGCTTATTTTTGGTCATCTGTTTTCCCATTGTACATGCACAAACTCCCTTAGAGTATATTAGCAATTGTGGCTCCTGGAACTAGGGCGTATCTGGCACTAATTAAATCTTGCATTAAAATGTATTGAGTAAATTAATAAATACATTTTAGTATGAAGTTTCACAAATGTTTAAGAACATAAACTGTAAATAATGATGGTTTAAATATATTGACCACTTCCCATGAGCCAGGCACATTATGTTAGTATCTTATTTAATGCCTGCCATGACTCACTGAAGTAGGTGATGTTACTATCCCAAAATTACAGATTAAAAACACAGGTCAAAAAAGTTAAGTAATTTTCCCACCTTGAATCTGGTACACTGATTCTTGATCCTATGATTTTATCCACTTCTGCAATACTGTTTTTCCCTAATGGATGAGATTGACTATCAAGTTAGAGCTTACCTATATGTATCAAAATACCAGAGGTAAGAAACACTTATTTGCTTTCACCACAAATATTTAATGAACACTGTATGAAGATCTTGTGATTGGACAGTGATAATGAATTGTGGTTTTATGTATTCTCCCTTCATGTAAAGAAAAACAATTTAGCTCTGATCACCAATAAAGTTTCCAATAATGACCCTTTCAATGAAGCATACAAACACTGTGAAACTGTGTGTGTGTGTGTGTGTGTGTGTGTGTGTGTGCATATACTTGAATCAGAATTCTCTGATATGCTTCTTTCTTTCTGAAACCTGTCCCAACCCTACTGAATTAAAGGCTTTGCAGGTAAGGCTCAGGTGATTCTAGCAATATTCAAAATACCGGGTAAAAAAAATTTTTTTGAAAGGTTACACCAGTTTTGCTGGCAGAGGTCTAACAAATATGTGATTGTTTTGATATCCTAGAATAAAAATACATTTCATATTGCTTTCCAAACAATTTGGGTCAGGGGTCAATTTCACAGCTGCAAACTGTTCTCTCTGTACATATCCTTTGCTAGCATCGCTCTTAGAAAGAATGGTAATGCCATTAATACCTACCGTTGCAAGTGTTTATGGTAAATACTGCCAGTGTTGCCTGCCTCCCATAAACACAAGCAGCAGTTTATAGAAAGCAAGAGTATTTTAAAAACTTCTAAACTTAGTGCTATTTCTTTTAGCAAGATCAATCAGCTGAAGTTCACTCCGATACCCCAATAGCATGGTGCAGATTTAAAGAGATGACTGCCTAAAACATGCTTGACTATTTTGACTAACACATCTAGAAAGGTTCATTTAACCCCATATTAAATGTTCTTTTAAATACTCATCAATTTACATCAATATTTCATAGCTACAATCCCAAAATGAGTATGTCATTGCTTTTTGAATTTGAAGGAGAGTTATCTCCTTTGCTGTGTCTGGTTAGTTCAGTTTGGTACAAAAATTGCCAAGGTCCCAGTTTTGATTTGCTCCCCAGTCATAGTTGGTCCTCCCTCATAGTTCCAATTACTGGTCTTCAAAATGTGACCTACTACTCACAATGAAGTTAGACAGGGGCAATAAGAGAACCTGAGAACTACCAACAGAGCTGGAAGAACAATTAAAACATGTGCTGTGCAATTATTGTATCAGTAGACATTGAGTCACAGGTATGTACTCAGTAATTATAGTAATAAATGAAAACAGTATACTATGATCAAATCTATTTTTATACATATTATTGAATAAATTTTCCCAGCTTCTTTTCTAATACTTTTTTTTTTTTTGGCTCTTGGCATAACAGTATTTAAGACGTAGTTGCCTATCATTACACAACCTGCACATGGTAGAAAAGAGACTTGAAATTTTGTTGTTGTTTTAAATCAACATATTGGAGACCTTGTTTATCTGAAAAATAATAATGTTTTGCCAAAGATAGACAGATAAGTAGACAGATAAATAAAAGTTCTTTTTTTCTCCTATCTGTAAATTCCTGCAGTAGTTGGAAGTTTTTTCTTTTGGTCAATGTTCGACTTTATCAATCAATTTTATTGAACTATGTCAAAGGAGTTAGAACACTAGTCATTTAGTCCACTTGTTTTTCTAGTTAATAAAACTCATCTTTTAATAAAGGCATCTGCATCAGAACAAAAGAAAAAAGTCAGATTGCGTGAGTTTACATCACTCTTCCATGACTTCACATAATTTTAAATGATTTTATCATTATTTTTAACTACAGATCCAGTTGAGTCTAAAAAAAAAAGAGAGAATGAAGTTTCCAAAATTGGCCAACTTCATTTCTTACTATAGTAATAAACCTTACCAACTTAACTGAAGGAAGAAAGATGGTGTCATTCTAAGAATAATCTAAATTTCTTCAACAATACTTAAAGTAAAAGTGGTGGCTGTGTAATACAGCAGTTCTCAAAGTGGAGTCTGCATATTCCTTGGGGGGTGGTCCCTGAGACACTTTCAGGGACCTATGAGGTGAAAACTCTTTTCATAATAACGCGAAGATATAATTTGCCTTTTGTAGTGTGTTGGTACTTGCCCTGGTGGTGCAAAAGCAATGGTGGGTGAAACTGCTGGCACCTTAACATGAATCAAGGACTTGACCCCAATCTGCAGGGCTAGGCATTGTAGCCTTCATCTCCATGCACTGGATAGAGAAGAAAAGCCATTTTCATTGAAGAAAATCCTTGAAGCACTAAACATTACTTTATTAAAACTCAACACTAAGAATATATCTTTTCAATAGTGTACGTGATGAAATGGGGCTTACACATTAAGCATTTCTACTGTGTACTGAAATACAATAGTCGCCTCAAGAGAAATCTCTTGTGTGATTGAGTTTCACACTGAAGCTACCACTTTGTTATAACATTTAATTTTAATGGGAAAGAATGAGAGACAAATGGTGGTTATTCAGAGTGGAGTATTTGACAAACATCATCCTGAAAATGAATGAAGCAAGGGTGCCACTTCAAGGAAAGGAACCAAGAATATTTGCTGTCTATGATCGAGTTTGAGTTCTCCAGCAACCATTAGACATTTGGATAACTTGTATCCGTAATAATTCAAAATATTGTAAAGATTCATTCAAAATGCAAGATAGACCAACAGATTGTACAAAACAATTACTGATATGGTTTAAGATTCCACATTTCAACTAACCTTGTTAAACTGTCACTTGTTGAGTTTCGGTACAGTGTTAAATCAGAAGAATATCCACAATTTTCTGAAAAAAAAGGGATAAAATATGATTCTCTTTTCTATTTACATATTATTGAGGTCAGGTTTTCTGTATAGGTTAAAACAAAACAACAATTTTTTATTAAAAGATTAATCAAATTTCAATCTAATTTACATAGAAATTTAATGGAGAGGGAGTTATGAGAATCCAGACACTAAAGTGATTTATGAAAGCCTAAAATGCATACATATGTGATGCTGGTAATAATTTTTGGAAATATGTTTTCCTATCAAAGTAATACAAATATATGTCCTCCTGAATCCCCAACTTATATCTTGGTACACCGAGTTCACCTACTTTCATATTGTTGACGTGACACACCATTGCATTTTAAGGATCAGCCAATCAGCAAGAAAGAGACACAGAGACAGAGTGAGAACCCCATACACGTAGAGGCAAAGAGGAACCATGCCTCTGGTTTCATCTATGCGAATGAATTGTTTTTGTTTTTTAAATATTCTTTGAAAATGTTTTCACACACCCTCGAGCAAACCAAACAGACCCTGATTCTGTTCTGCAGAAAAGAATCACAACCTCCCTATAAAATGCAGGTCTTTGGCCCTGGGTGGATGTTACACTTTGTGAGTGAATCCTACATTGTCGTATTTCTCATCTGCAGTGATCTTAAGGAGAAGACCACTAGTCAAAAATTAGTGGTTCCAATCTAAATGTCCGTGGACAGATGAACGGATGAAGAAAATGAAATAATCCAGGCACAGAAAGGCAAATACTGCACAACCTCATTAATATGTGTGCAGTAGTCCAGGTTCTCCGCAGGAACAGAACTCATAGGATAGATGTATGTATGAAAGGAAGCTCACTAAGGAGAGTCGGCTCGCATGATCACAAGGTGAAGTCCCATGACAGGGCATCTGCAAGCTGAGAAGGTAGGAAGCCAGTAGTGGCTCAGTCCGAGTCCAAAGTCCTCAAAATTAGGGGAGCTGCCAGTGCAGCCTTCCATCTGTGGCTGAAGGCACGAAAGCCCTTGGCAAGGCACTGGTGTAAGTCCAAGAGTCCAAAGGCTGAAGAACCCCAAGTCTGATGTCCAAGAGCGGGAGGAAGAGGGGGAAGCATCCAGCACGGGAGAAAGATGAAGGCCAGAAAACTCAGCAATCCAGCCTATCCCACCTTCCTCCCCCTGCTTTGTTCCAGCGATGCTGGCAGCCAATTGGATGGTCCCCACCAACATGGAGACTGGGTCTTCCTTTCCCAGGCCACTGACTCAAATATCCACTCCTCTGGCAACAGCCTCCCAGACGCACCAAGAAACAGTACTTTACCAGCCATCTAGACATCCTTCAATCCAATTGAGTTGACACCTAATATTTACCATCACAATGTAGAATCCAAAAAAGTTAAGCTCATAGTAGAGTAGAAAGGTGCTTACAGGGTCTAGGAGTGTGTGGGAAAGCCAGGAGGTGTTGGCCAAAGGATACAGCATTTCAGTAATGCAAGATGAGGGAGTAAAATGTACGACATGGTGGCTACAGTCAACAATGCTGCAGTGTACACTTGAAATTTGCTGAAAGGGCAGATCTTAAGTGTTCTCACTACTGAAGTCTTATGACTATGTGAGGTGATAAATATGACTGTGGTAATCATTTGTATATCAAAACATCACATTGTACACTTTAATATACATACTTTTTAATTTAGCACTGATTTCTCTATAAATCTGGGAAAAAAAATAGTGCTTCACTAGCCAGGGCTAACAACACTGTGAGATTTAAAGACATAGAACTCAAGTCAAGACGGTTAGTGCCCTCCCCTCCTCCACTTTTTTGAGACAGAGTCTCATTCTGTCTCCCAGGCTATAGTGCAGTGATACCATCGTAGATCACTGCAACCTCCACCTCCTGGGTTCAAGTGATCCTCTCTCCTCAGTCTCCTGAGTAGCTGGGACTATAGGTACAAGAATCTTGGCATCTAAAACAATGCTTACTTCCACCTGCAAAGAATATTGACCAAAACGTTTATATCTTTCTAGAAAACTTCCACCTAAGCAACTCCCACAGCTGTTCATTTTGCTATGAATTTGTATATGGCAGATGGCCTTGGAATTTTTGGCTCTGTACCCCCTCGGGGTAAAATGTGTTGCTGTTTTTACACCTCCCATCATTTGAAAATTAAAACATGTACTCATATGCCATGAGCCTGTCTTCTCATGGGTTTCTCCATTGTTTCATTGCATAGTGTGGGTAAACAGCTTACATCCTAATTCAGCCTGTGAAGACTAGAGAACAGGGCTCTCAGTGTTCTGCTGGTCACATTGGATAAAGACTGGAGGGAAACCTTTCAATCTGATTTAGGGAAATATAACTATCTAGAGTCTTACCTTTGTGGGTTTTGCCACTCTGGGCTGAAGCAAATGAAAAGAGAAAGGTCCTTTGAAGTTTCCCAGAATGTATGTAATGTCTGGTGTCCAGAGGAGGTAGACACATTTCAAGAATTTATTACTCTGGAAAATGTGATAATTCTGATCTGTAGCCTAATGGTACACATGTGAACTAATCAATGTATGACACATGGTTTTCCCAACAAGCTTATTAAATAAAAAATTGTCCTACTTTGACCTGAAGATGTTTTATTTACCTTTATCAAAAAAGAGTGCATTTAAAGGGCTTCTTGCTAAGAAAGAGGACATAGAACCTCAGGTCAAGCAGCCCAGAACCTGAGCATGGAGAGTGTGCACGTTACCGTCAGCTAACCTGGGTGCACACCTCTGGCCCATGTTTACTAGGTGTGAGAAGTGTCTCAAACAGGGTCTGGGCAGATGCTGAGGAGCAGCCAGAGGACAGAACCCTGTGGAAGCAGAAGAGAAGAAACCAGATACAACCTCAACTACTAATCAAATTAAGTATCAAATAATAAAAGGTATCTTACTATCAGGAGACATGAGATCAGGAGATCTGGCTGGGGGATGTCTGCAGTGGGTCTGAGATCTGGACGTGGAGTTGAGAGGGAGAGTATGAACACTGGGAGAGGCCAGAGCCTCATTTTCGGGTATATCTTGCTCTTTAGATTAAATAAGTTTAGTTATGATTGTGTCTGTTACCTTTCTACTTTAAACCAGAGACAACTTTTTAACCTCCTCCAAAAGTTCTCAAAGAAAATGACACTATCAAAACTCAGAATTACAAGTAACTTATTCAAGAAATGAAATTTTATTTTCTAAATGTGCATGCAATATTTAAATTTTCAGAGGGGCAAGAAGGACAAAGGGATTAACTTTTGTGGCTTATGCCACTTAGGCACATCTAGGAAAGACTGTGCGGCCTGTGAGTATGCGGAATTGAATAATAGGACACCGAATTCACTCTGGGAAAACCTGCCTGAAACTTCACTGGGGGGCATCTGTTAAGAACAAGAATCACCTTCCAATCACATTACTAAGCACCCACTGGGCTTTATTACTTACAAAAATAATAACAACAATATTCATAATGATTAAACCTTGCCTAAAGGGATACTACATAGTCATATATTTATTTAAATGTACACTTCAATACAAATTTTATATAGCAACAAATAGTAAATTCAGATAAAAAGTCCTTTATTTAATAAAAGATGAATGATTAATATAGAAAGTACTTGGAATCCAGGGAACAAGAGATTCAAGCTCTTGCAAAAAGATCGACTTGAGGAACAAAAACACTTTGAATAATATTTGTGGACCGAGTGAGTGATAGAGAGGTGAGTAGGAAAGAGAGAATGACACAATTCTTGTAGAACGGGATGTTCTTGGATTCACAGAGGAGGTTGTACTTGAGCTGAGGCTGGAAATAGAGAAGCATGAGATTTTCATGGGCGATTGGAGTGGGGTCCTAGTGAGGAAGGAAGGGGTAAGCAAAGCCTCCCGGTCCTTCAGGTAGGAGAAGCAATCATTGCAGGTTTTGTGCAGCCGTGTGGGACAAAGACAATAAGCACATGGGTGAAACACGCATGCCACGGCAAATGCACATGAAATGTCTGAGATTTTTTTTTTTTTGAGTGGCTCTAGTTAACGACTCCTCTGATTTAATATGAGCTGTTAAAAAGAATCACTGCATTTCAACCAAATTATCATACCACTAAAAATGTTCGTCAACCTGTCAGTGTTGTGCCTGCAACTTGAACTCTCTGATGATTTAACTTTCATGCAATATTCGATCTTTTTATCATAAAAGTGAAGATAAATAACTCAAGTGCAAACAGAAAATTCTTTCAGATCTCTTCAGAAAGCTGCTTTAAGGGTTCAGGGCTTCTGTGACCCTGGCCTCAGTATGAACAGCTTAGCATGAGAATATTGGCTGAAAAACCCCAGCATTCTGCACTGGCAGATGGAGTGTGTGGCCATTTTTGAAGAGGAACAAATGTATGAATTTAATTAGCAAGGGATTTGACAGCTCCTTTCCTTTAGTTGCATAATTTTGGAGACAATTGGAATAAAGTACATGTTTTCTTCTTACAAAGATACACTGTTGCAACATTTTCCCATTTCTTCCTTTTTCTCTGATTTTCTTTATGCCTCCCCCAGTTTAGGAGCCCATAAATTGTATTATTTATGCATTTTTTTCTAGATTTGTGGTAAAGACCGCTTATGTCTATGAGTCTTTTAACAGAAGACCGAGTTGGCATGCATGCACTTGATTTGTGGCTGGCACAGTGCTAACAGCAGCCTGCCTTTAAGACCACGTACCTCACACCACCCTCTGCAGTTTATTAAAGATGCTGTGGAGCAGAGAAAATGCAGTCTTTTCAGAGGGCAGATCTCAATGCATTACATTATTTTTACAGGGAATTTTAATGGATATAATCCTTGACCTGACAATATATTAAGAGAGAAACTGAGGGCAAAGAAAGTGTCCTTAATCTCAGTCCAATTCTTGATATTAAATAGCAAAAGTCCTGCAAAGGGTCAATGCAAATAAAGTATTTGTAGAAGCCTGTGTAGACAGCAGCCCTTTTTGGATGCGTAGTTCCCATAAGAAGATTAAATGAGGACCTTAGGGCACAGATGTACCTTAAGCCAGCGGTCCCCAACCTTTTTGGCACCAGGGACCAGTGTAGTGGAAGATAATCTTTCCACAGATCCGTGGGGGAGTGATGGTTGAGGAGGCATTAGATTTTCACGGGGAGTGCAACTTAGGTCCCTCCCATGCACAGTTCACAATAGGGTTCATAGTCCTATGAGAATCTGATGCTGCCACTGATCGACAGAAGACAGGGCTCAGGACATAATGCCCACTTGCCTGCCAATCAACTCCTGCTCTGCAGCCTGGTTCCTAACAGGCCATGGACCAGTACTGGTCCACAGCCTGGGCATCGGGGACCCTTGCCTTAAGAAATAATGTTCTTGACTCTTAGGTACACCTTTAATATTCACAATGGAGAAAATATCAACCCTACTATCAGGCTGAAGTTGATTAAATTCAATAATATATGTAGAAAAACGAAAGCTTTCCAGCGTAAAAGATTACTACTGCTGCTGTGCTGGACTCCACAAAGCTGTCTTTCCACTTAGAAAGTTATGCTGTTTAGTTAAAGGGTGCTACCTGGTGAGCCTTCGACCATGGGCCGTTGCTCAGCTCTGTGCCAAATACAATCTTAAGCCGTCACATAACCATGTGCCGAATACAATCTTAAGGCATCACATATCCATGTGTCAGAGGCTCCTCAAAAGCCTCAGCAGAGCCACCTGTTCTTCAAGGACTCTGGTGCCCAAACTCCATCTAACGAGGTCTTTGTTCTCTTTGTGACCCATCCTCCTTTCCGCATCTGCCTACTGAAACCCGGTCCTTCATGGCGCTAGAAGGACTAGCGGAGGGGGTGTGGATGGAGGACAGAGAACACAGAGTTCCTGTGAGCCGGCTTTCCATTTTCTCCCACATCAAGTGAAATAACAGAGGGACCAAGTGAAACACACCAGAGCCCTGGTTACCTCTGAAAACAGAGGTGGAGGAATCATTTTATTTATTCATTGAAAAAATATATGTCAAGTAATTGCTATGTATCAGGCCCTTGTTCAATACATAACAGAAGGTGGAGCATACATAATTACTACTTTTTTGAGTCAGATGTTAACAATGGACTCCTACAATAAAAAAGTAAAACAACAGGCTGGGTGTGGTGGCTCACACCTGTAATCCTAGCACTTTGGGAGGCTGAGGAGGGCAGATCACTTGAGGCCAGGAGTTCAAGACCAGCCTGGCCAACATGGCAGCAAAACCCTGTCTCTACTAAAAATACAAAAATTAGCCGGGCGTGGTGGTGCACACCTGAGGTTTCAGCTACTTGGGAGGGTGAGACATGAGAATCACTTGAACTGGGAGGAGGAGGTTGCAGTGAGCGAAGATTGCTCCAATGCACTCCAGTCTGAGTGATGGAGTGAGACTCCATCTCCAAAAAACAAAAAGAAAGTAAAACAACAAATTCATGTGATCGGGTGAAAGCAAAGCTCCATGAAAGAGAAAGAGGCATGCAGGTTGGGAGTGGTTAAAATACATCACTGTGATAATCATTTTAAAGTTGAGACCTCAGGGTATAAAAGAAACCAGCTAGAAGAGCAAAGAGGAAGAACATTCCAGACTGCAGGCACAGCATATGTGTGTGGGCTCTGAGGCAAGGAAGTGAGTTCCACATCTGAGGAAATGAGAGGCAGAACCTCGGGGCACCACATGGGCTAGAAACGCCACGGGGAGCAATGGATTCGAGGAGCCGGGTCACACTGTGCACCCTTAGGCATGTGAAGAAGATTCTGTATGAAAATGCACTGGAAGGCAATTGAATTATGTTAAGCAGAAGAGTGACATGATCCAAGCTGAACTTTAAAAGATTACTCTGCCACACAAATGATGGACTTGAATGGACCAAAATGAAATCTGAAAGACTACTTGGGGACTCTTGTTATATCATAGGAAAAGATGTTTTGGATTAGGGTGATGGCTATGGAGAGAACTGGATAGGTTCAAGGTTTGCAGGAGCATGACTAATAGGACCTGTTGAAGTGAAGGAGAGGGGTTATTTGGAAATGACTGCAAGTTTTTAAAGCAAATTTATTTCAAATGATTTGAGATTGGTGCCATTGTTGTCAGAGACAAGAAGCCTGAAGAAACAGGACTTTCAAACGGGTAATGCATGAGTATGTTGAGGAGGGTAGAAATTAAGATTCCGTTTTAGTCATTTTAATTTTGAAAATCAATGAGTTGTCTGAAGGCAATGTCCTAGGGCAGCTGGGCACAGACTCTGGAGTTGAATTTTGTCTGGGTATAAAATACACATTTTGGAATTGCCAGTACCTAGCTGTTATTTAAGGTCCTCTGAGACAATATTAAATGAAGATGATTAAAAAGGGACAGCACCAAGCTCTAAGAAAGAAAAGTGTTCACAATTCCATTAGCTTCAAAAGTCACCAGGAAAAATTGGGGTTTGGGGAGACAAGGGAGGTAAAAGCAGCGGGAAGTCAACTAGCAGAATGCGAAATCATGAAATGCAAGGACAGAGAACCAAGAAAAAGAGATGATTTTCTATGCCAGAAACGCCTGTGAGAACAGTTGAGTCAGATGAGATGAAATGGTCTAAAATGGCATTCATGGAAGTTGCCGACACGTGAATGTCTACTGACTCTGACAGAAGCCCTTTCTGTGAACGCAGGCTGAAGTGGAAACAACAGTAAAAGAGAAATAAGGAAACAGAAAGAATTGACTGGAGAGAAATTTGGCAAAAGAGAAGATCACAACAGGAAGATCAAAATTTGGAACAGGGAAAGGGAGAAAAGTAGTCTTGGCTCATGAGAATGTAAAGTCCCAAGAGAGCTGTTCAGGAGGCTCTGCAGTGTACACTTGTGTGCTGGTGAGAATGAACCAGTGGAGAATGAGAGGACACCCAGGTGGGAGCACGAAGGTATTACAAAGAAACAAAGGAATGCTATCTTCAGCACCTAGGGAAGAATTGATCTTTGCTTACAGGAAAGAAGAAAGCATGTGTGGGTGCAAGTGTGGGAAGGGGAGGAGACATCTAGAGCAGTGGCTTCCAGAATTCTTACCACCACAGAAACCCTTTTATTTTCCCTTTATAAATTCTATCTACCAAAATATTTTATGTGCAACACTTTTTTAGTTAATTCATTTACCCGTTTTTTTCAAAGACCAATGAATCAGCAATCAGTATAAAGTAATATTTTGTTAACTATTGAGGTATACACTCATACTTTGGGTCAATTCTGGGTAATCCCTATTTCCAACTTCCCTCTCGTGGTAGTATCTGTGTACTCAGAAGGCATTCAGCAGCTCAGAGGGAGAAGGATATGAAGCAGATGGACACAAGTGAAAGGCTGCAGACGCTGGCTGAAGCCAGCACCCGACATTCAATACTCAAGGAACTCCTCCCACGACCCCCGGGTTTGCTGCTGGCTGGCAGCCCTCAGCTGCAGAGATCTGTTTCCCTGAAGCTTTATCCCACTTTCTGGGGAAGGTCTGAACTCAATGACTTGTTAACGTAGGTGGCATAATTTCTCCACCCCTTGTTCTAATTTAGGACAATTCTGAGGGGTCATCCCAGATTTAGAGCACACTTTCTGGTTGGCTGAGACCTTTGTTGTGACTCTATTGCAGCCTAAATTCTCCCTCTGCAATCTTGTATTTTTCCCTTTCACAAAAGTATGCTAATCCTAAGAGCACTTTCAAATAAACTTCTTATCTTAGAGTCTACCGCCAAGAAGATCCACTGTTATTAGTTGACATGTGTTCCCTAAAAAATATGCGGAAGTCTTGACTCTGATACCTCTGAATGTGACCTTTTTTGGAAATAGAATTCTTGCAGAAGTAATAGAGTTAAGACAAAATCATTATGGAGAGCCCTAATACAATGTGGCTGTTGTCTTTATAAGAAGAGGAAATGTGACATGAAGAGAGCGAGGCACACAGGGAGTATACTGTGTAATGACAGAGGCAGGAATTGGATGTAATTGCAAGCCAAGCGATGCCAAGTATTGACAGCTACCACCAGAAGCTAGCAAGGGGCAAGGGAAAAACCTATTCAGAATCTCAGAGAAAGCCTGGCCCTGGCAACAACTTGACTTGGGGACTTCTGTTCTCCAGAAGTGTAGGAGAACAAACATCCATTGGTGACTTCCCAGGCCACCACGCTGAAGCCTGGTGTCATCCTCTTGAGGACAACAGAGGCTCCGTGTCTGTGATGATGCCCTGTGACAGTCACAGCCAGCTTCCTTGGATCTTTGCAGCATGGTAGAGATTGCGCTAATTTGCACTTCCAGTGTGCCATCTCTAGGCTCGCTATCTAAAATCATGACTGTTATACGAGGCTGAGTCCCCCAGACCTGGGCTACTTGGGTCTAGGAAATAGAGGCTGAAAGTACTAATGGCTCAGTTTAAAGTCACTGCCAGTGACCTAATTGGGAGAGTTTTTTATTTTCTTTCCTGAAACTCTAGTCTTTGCAGGGTTATAGATTCTAGCTCCCAAAGGGGAAAATATTTCACAGGGGACACTATAGGAGACCCATTGAATTAAAAATTGGTGGCTTCTACTCAGACACTTAATGTTCCTCATGGCAAGGTACCAGCAAACAAACCAAAAAAAGGACTCATATTAGGATGAGAGATTCTGAAAAATTTCCCTCTCCTTTCCAAATTTTAAAACAAGTAGATTTATAATTTTTAACTTGTTGTGTATAATTCTTCTTCTATAAAAACTTATCTCAGAAATGAAATCAAAGAATATACTATATAGAGAGCCATTCTGCTTGAACTTACATATAAATATAAGAATTGGTATTTTATTTTAGACATGAGAAATATATGACCAGAATGGACTTTATATGTTTATATCTTTACATATTCCCTTCATGCTCTAATTCTTAATACAAAGATGGTAGACTTGAGGATGTGGTTAAAAAGTTAAATGCTGCAGCCAAGCATGATGGCTCATGCCTGGAATCCCAACATTTTGGGAGGCTGAGGCAGGCAGATCACTTGTGGTCAAGAGTTCAAGACCAGCCAGGCTGACATGGTGAAAACCCTTCTGTACTAAAAATGTAAAAATTAGGCGGGCATATTGGCAGGTGACTGTAATCCCAGCTCTTCAGGAGGCTGAGGTATAAGAATCACTTGAGCCTAGGAGGTGGAGATTGCAATGAGCCAAGACCCTGCCACTGCACTCCAGCCTTGGCTACAGAGTGAGACTCCATCTCAAAGAAACAAAAAAGTTACATGCTGCAGTGTACTATCAAAAATTACAGACACACGATACCTACATTGTTTAGTTGTGATGTTAGAACCATATAAAAACCAAAACTATGGAAAATATTTTGTTTTTGGCATGTATTATGAAATAAGCTATTTTGGATACTAAAATGAATACAAATTACAAAATTTTCTTTAATGGCAATTGTGAATATATTTTTAAGTACTATTAACTGACAGTGCATCTTGTTCAAAGTGATCTTTAGCAGGTGTTCTCATGAAGCAAAAGCTGTTTCTATAAAAAGTAAAGAAGAGGAAATGATTCTATTAAAACAGCATATGACAACACTGAAATATAGAAAGAAAAAAGAACTCAAGATAAGCATAATTATATTCTTTTGGTACCAGGATATATTATAATCCACACCAAAAACCAGGTTTGGGGTAATGTTTTTTCCCTAAAATCTAAGTGATTTTTTTTAAGTTTAAAGGTAGAAAATTTGCAATGAAATATTATGAAAAGGAGACAGGTTTCAAAATAATGCAAATGAGATATAATTCTTCCAGCAAGGAGGTGCTATTGACATGGTGATATAAAAAAATGTTTCATAACTTTTTCAAACAATTTAAAGGAGAATAAAATAAGTACTCTTTTATAATTTGACTTTTTAAACTAGTACAGATGAAATAATGTCCATCTTTATAAAAATAATTTCAACTTTTACTTTAGGTACAGAGGATGCATGTGCAGGTTTATTTCATGGGTGTATTGCGTGATGCTGGGGTTTAGGGTATGGATCCTATTACCCAGGCACTAAGCATAGTACCCAATGAGTGGTTTTTCTACCCACACTCCCCCTTCCATTCTTACTCCTCTAGGAGTCCCCATTGTCTGTTGTTCCCATCTTTATGTCCATGTGTAACCAATGTTTAGCTCCCACTTACAAATGAGAACATGCAGTATTTGATTTTCTGTTTCTGCATTAATTCCCTTAGGATTATGGCATTATGGCCTCTATCTGCACCCATATTGCTGCAAAATATATAATAATTTCATTATTTTATAAGGCTGTGGACTCTCAACAGTGGATTGGTTAAAGAAAATGAGGTACGTATGCACCATGGGATAATGTTCATCTTAAAGGCAGATTGATTTTCTGAGTTTGAGTTGTAGCCTCATATTCCACTAGAGACATGCACCATTACATACTTAACTCACCCCCTACCCAAGGAAATTTTACTGACTTTAGCTTATTACGAGGATGAACATTGCTATACTGAAGGGATTTCTACATATAACTTTGTGTATTTCCCAGTTGTTTCCTTGGCACAGAGTCTTGAACTGTTGACAGGGATGCTCATAAAACCTCACTATGACTGCTGCTGAGTGACCTTCTGTGCAGAAGTGCCTGGTGAATGGAGCCCTGAAGTTGTGTAGCATGGTAATAAGATTGCACCAATTTACACCTGTCTTTACCTTAGGTTGTTTATAAGGAAGTTTTTTCCCCTACTGTGCAAGAATGAGTACAAATTGCTCTTAATCTCTACCAATTTAATAAAGGGTACTAGTTTGAAAAATATATTTTAAAAATATTTTATTCTATAAGCAAAAGATAAAGTCAATTCCATAAAGAGAAAACATTTTCATTGGTAGTCTAGAGGTAATGTATAATTGTATAATATTCAACAAGCATTTTGGGTCTATTATGGATAAATGACAAGGCACTCTTACGTATCACTCTCTCTCAATGCATGGCAGTTGATATGGAGGATGGCCAAATGGTCATTAGGATTTACCTTGAAGAATGTGCTTAGGTTTTTCATATTAGGAGGTTTAAGTGGCAGGTATACAGAAGTTGCCATAAATATTGACTGACATATATTATAAAATATTATTAAAATGGAAAGTCTGATACTTTGTAGACTATTCTAGGTAAATGTTGTAATGACTTGAGTAAAATGACGTACATGGTAATTATTGACAATTTTCTATGAAGATAATACTGAGCAATTAGTGAGGCTTATATCATTAGAGTAGAACTTTAAGAGCTTCATAAAACCCTGTTTGTTAGTGTGTTTTGGGGTTTTGGTCTGTATTTTTCATTGTAAAATGTTTCATTTATAAAATTTTGTAGTCTTAGAATTGGAGATGGGTATCTTGCAGTTCCTCCCAGATAATGGGGTCAAGTCCCCACCCAAAGCTGGTTCAGAAGTTAAGACTGATGCTACCCACACAGTGAGTGAGAAGGAACAAACTTATGTGCTGGGGTTTTCTGGAGAGAGCAGGGCACACTCCCAACCTGATCTGAAGTGGGTTGAGTAGAGGACAGCCAAGGGGCTTTGATTTGTGTTGTGCTTACGGAGTGGGGTTAAGGTTCTTTTGCAGGGGCAGGGTTTGCATGGTTTGAAATCACCCACAGGTGTCAAGTGGGGGAACACATGGGCTATTTTATGGACTTGGCCAGATATGGGGCAAGAGAGGAAGGGCAAGGGGTGGAGCTTGACCACTCTCAGTGATGAAACGTCAAAAGTGGAGTCAGACTCTTTCTTACTCTGTAAAGAGCCTAAGAATGGCTCTGGATCCAAGTTTCTGTATCAACCAATTGTAGAGCATGAAATAAATGATAAATGAATGTCTTTCCCTCTTTACTATTCCATGGTCACTAATTTCCAGTTCTGCTACTTTATACTACACATCTGGGAACAAAATATTAAAAATGCAAAATAACTGCCCACATGATTGTTATACCAAAGCTAGCACCAGCTGATTTGGAGCTCTCCTGGCTCCTGGCACAGTATTCCCTTGACATTCACAATTACTTTGGAATGTATTTTAAAGACATTTACAAATATATCACCTACTGCTGAATTGAAAAACACTAATATTCTTAAATATTCACTAATCTACTATCAAGCCTGAGCTGCTGTATTAGTCCATTTTCACACTGCTATAAGGAACTACCTGAGAGTGGGTAATTTACAAAGAAAAGAGGTTTAACTGACTTGCAATTCCACATTGCTGGGGAGGCCTCAGGAAACTTACAATCATGGTGGAAGGCAAAGGTGTAGTGAGGCATGACTTACGTGGCGGCAGGAGAGAGGGAGAGTGAAAGGGGAAGTGCCAAACTTTTAAACCATCGTGTCTCATGAGAACTCTCTCACTATCACGAGAACAGCAAGGGTGAAATCTGCCCCCATTATCCAATTACTTCCCACAAGGTCCCTCCCCTGACACATGAGGATTACAATTCAACATGAGATTTAGTTGGGGACACAGAGCCAAACCATATCAGCTGTCTTACTTTGTTACCAGAACAGCACCGTGTCGTATTCAACATTTAGAGGAAAAGTGACATAGCTCTGCTCCAGCATAACATAGAGTAAACCTTAATGCATGAGCCCTCCAACTGTCAGCCCCACAAAAGTGGGCAAAACACGTGAGGCAACTCTATTCAGACAATGGAAAGCAGACAGGGCCAAACTCCAATCCCTGCGAGCAAAGAAACTCATGCAGTGAATCCAAGCTTGCCAAGTTTTTTGCCTGGGGATGGGTATCTGGTCATGGTACAGTGAGCCGAAGGGTACACAGAACTCATGATGTGAGGTGCTAGGGATCAGAAGTCAAGGCAGCCGGAGGAGGCAGGAGCCAGCAGAGCACAGCTGGTTCATAGAGGACAGAGCTGTGCAGCACGTCTGCTGGAGGCAGTTTTCTGACCTTTTATAATATGTTCATTCTTGTGGTTGTCTTGTGCTTCCCTAAGCCTTTTGGTTCCTTCTTGTACCATTTGATGATAGAAACTTCATGTCGTACGAGTTCTTCTTTAGCCTAGCTTCCAAAAGCCATCGTAGCAAAACGTTAGAATAATCTTCCGAGGGCCTTGACAGAGTGCTACATCTTGTGTTTATCTTAGTAGAATTCTCCCATATGGATAAATTATGTCTTATCCACCTTCATTTTGCACCCCTGTGATTCAGCATCTTCAATGTGCAGTCCTGTCCGTACTTTTCAGGTTCTCCCTGGTGGAACACAGCTGGGTCCTGCAGCCCTGACGATGCACGGTCTCTTTCCTCCATGGTAGGCCCTGCCTTTCCCCAGTGATTGGTCTGCTGGCCAGGAGTGCAGGAGAGACCGGCTATTGATGTGGATACACATTGTCTTGTAGGGCAGTGGTATCTGCAACATCTTCAAGTGAGGGAAGAGCACTATTTTCTAACAGAAGGGAATGTGCTCTCTTCAACCACTGGACTCTGTTCTACACTCAAACCCCAACAGCCAGTATCTAACAGTTTCACAGAGCCTTTCCCTGGACACGGGCAGCTCAGCTCTCAGTGCCAAGGTGCAAGGTTTTCCCATGGTCTTAACACTGTCTTGGAGATCCTTGCCAATTCAAGAACACTTTGGACTGGGATGATGTGCACATTACAAACAAGGAAATCAACTTTATTTATTAGCAAATGATGTGATTACATGCATAGAAAATCCAAAAGAATTTACATAAGAGCTGCTAGACTGAAGAAGTGTTTCACAAATTTTCAAGCTACAAGATCAATATATCAAACGTCAAATGCATTTCTATATACTGCCAAGAAAGAGTTGAAAACTAAAGTTTTAAAAATCGCATCATATACAGCACTATCAAAATCATAAGATACTTAGGTATAAATCTAATGAAAGGTATAAATCTAATAAAACACTGGCAGGATATGCAGCTCTAAACTGTAAAATACTGATAAGAGGAATTTTTTAAAGAGATATTGTCTATCTCTCTTTTAATGGAGAAACAATAAATGTGTTTATGAATTGGAATACCCAATGTTGTTAAAATGTTAATTCTCCCCAAATTAATATTGATAGATTAATTCAATACAATTTCAAATGAAATCCAGTGACCTCTATCATAGATATTGAACAGCCTATTCTAAAATTTATATAGAAATTCAGAGAACATAGAATAAGCGTGGCAATTAAAAGTAAAAACAGTTTAAAAAATTTAGCCTCCCTAATTTCAAGGTTTATTATAAAGTCACAGTAATCAAGACACTGTTGTATGGGAGTGAAAATAATCACATAATACAGAAATGGACCCATACATATATGGTCAATTGAGTTTTGATAAAGGCTCTGAAGTAATTCAGTAGAGAAATATGTTGGTGTCACAAAAATTGATAATTCACATGCAAAAGAATGAACCGCTATCAGCATCTCAGATCCTGCATAACCTTTACCTCAAACTAGGCCATAGGTCTAAATATAAACATCTATAAAAGTATAAAACTACAAGAAAAAAATAAAAAAAATTAACTTTGACTTAAGTATAATTTTTTATATAGGGCACAAAAGCATGAAACACAAAAGGCCTAGTCACTGTATTTAATTAAAATGTACAAACTGCTCTTTGAAAGGCACTATTAAGAAAATAAAAAAAAAGCAAGTCATACTGAATGAAAATATATCTGCAGAAATACATATCTGATGAAGAATCTAAGGGGAGTATCAAAAACTTTCAAAATTAGTTAATCATTCTGCCAAAAAAATGAAAAAGATGGGTAGATGTTTCACCAAGAAAATATTCAGATGGAAATATCACTCAGGATCCCATTACCAGGTGTGTATCACCTGCTAAATGAAGACAAATGTCTACGCTAAACCTTATTTACAAATAAGGTTTATACTGGGCTTTTCTACCTCTAAAATTCAATGAGTGAAATCATATTTTCCCTCATTATTAAGTTACTTCGAGATTTGGGTTTTAGATAATAAAATGGTCTCTATCATATGCAAATAACAATTACCTAGTGAGGAAATTTTATGGCTGATCTTCAAGTTAAAGTGCATTCCAGCCTTTTACCCTGGTCTAAATGAGAACATTGAATACTTTGGTTTTGGACTCAGCGTGGAGGATATGAAAATATTTGTATAAACTTTAGAAAGTATGTTTCTTAAAAATACACTTTTTAAAACTTAACACATAGGTCTTAAAACGTGAACATATTTGTAATATCCACAAAGGAATTTGACTTTCCCAGTCTCCCTGTTTATGTTGCCAAATATATTTTAAAACTCTGATTCAAACAATGAGGTTTTATTTGCCTTAATTTAGAGTAAATGCCAAATACACCATCTAAGGCCTGCCCTAGGAGGATAAGAGAATGATTTGTAATGTGAAAATGGCAAAGAAGCCACCTTCTACCTCAGTTTCTTGTAGCTTCTATTTCTTGCTGCAACATCACACTTAAGTCATTGCACAAAAGCAATTTGGGGAAAGGATTAAAGATTGAAGCCTCAAATATAAGCCTGCATCAAACATTAATACTCCAAATACATTTTCTAGTGATAAGAACAGCAGCAGTTTATAAGTGCGTCATTTGTAATTTTGTTCCACATGTTTTCACCGTGGTCATCATATTGATATACAACGAGTCCCAAGAAGGATAAGTGACTTATCCATCTTGCAGAGCCAATGGCACAATTGAGGTTCCTAAGCTTGTTCTGCAGTCTGACCCTTCCACTCTACAAGAGTTGCGCTCAAACGGTGCCTACGTGTTGTAATGTTCCTCTTTCTGTCTATTACAAGAGTTGCGCTCAAATGGTGACTACATGTTGTAATGTTCCTCTTTCTGTCTATGACAGCTTGTCCTGGGCACCAAAGCTATTATGTGAGATACAGAAAATAATAACCTGGAAAAGGAAGATGTGTATTAATCACAAATTGTCATCTGAATTTGTATCCTCATTTCACTATTTAATTTTTACTTATGAATTGTTTCAAATTATATAATATATAAATTGTACTATAGTGGTACCTATAGTAGCCAATGATCTAAAACTGTTGATATTTTATCATATGAATGTCATTTTTCTTTTGTTATAAATAATTATTATCTATGTAAATTTATATCCATATATTCACTGTAATAATAAGAATAATGATAAATAATACCAACTAATTATACAAATTTTGCTAGAGGAAAATACATAACTTTTATCACTGAAAAATAAAAATGAAAAAACTCTTATTTCTGACTAGGAAAGCTTAAGATGTTTCAGGATTGCTTCTGTCCAGCAAAGAATTAGAAAATTGGAAATATGTAAGACACAACTATTTTCTGACATTGGACAATAGGCAATACAGGTTTGTGATCCCAGAAAAAAGGAGAACATGTAAAGTGAATCTCAACATTGTCCTGGTTTTGTTCCAGAGAGACTTTCTGAGTGCACTGTCAGAATGGAAAGAACAAAAATAGTCTGATACAAAATAATACCTACAATATAATTCAATTCATATGAAAATCTGCAAAATCTGCTCCACAATGACAGCAAGAAGTTCATGTATTGCCTGAATGTGATAGCAAAAGATTTACCAGGAAGGGAAACAAAAGAAACTTTCATTTGTGATGGAAATATTTCATTATACAAAATGCGGTGGTGCTTAAACAGGTGTAAACTTTTGACTAATTTAACAAGCTCCATTTAGAATTAATTCATTTTGTTATATATGAAGTATTCCTCAAGAAGATTTTTTTAAAATTAAAAAACAAAAATGGATATATTTACAGCCAATTCAAGTACTAAACACATGTAAATAAAGACTAGGGATACATACAAATACATTTCCAAAAAATAATGGAGAGAAATTAATAAGTTATAAGACAGAAAATTAATAAAACTGACAAACCCAAAGCCCATTTTGTATTCATAATAAAATACATAAATCTTTATATGTGCAAAAAATAATAAAATATAAATACACCATAATGAAATTGATTAAGCATATATATAAAAAGCCTAAGATACACAGGTAATAAGTAATTTAAAGACAATAGTGTACACAAGTAAATGTTAGCAAATCTTCAATATTGTTCTTCTAATATAAATTTAAATTAATGGAATATGACACAAGAAACTGTTAAATATTAAATATGGCAACGAGCATAGAAATTACTTTAATAGTTTCCAAAGAAATACCTCAAAGATATGTGTGTACATACACAATTATGAATGAATACAAATAAAACATTATAGAAGACATAATTCCTATTCTATCTAAAAATACTCAGAACATTGAAAATAGGACGCCTCCTGAGATTGTTTTATAAGCCATAATAAAAATATGACAAATAATAGAACACTCTAACATCGATAAGAATGCAATATCCTAAGGAAATCAGCAAGTGCTGAATAGATTAAAACAACAAAACCAAGTAAGATTTATTCCAGAAATCTAAGCTTATCCAATACAGAGCACTCCTTATCATTCAAATAATAGGTCAAAGAAGTGCCAAAACATATTGATAAAATCATCAGTCATTATTTTTCTTAAAACAATTTTATTAAGATATACTTCACTAATTCTACAACTTATCCTCTTAAAGCAGGGGTTCGCAACCCCCGAGCCACGAAGGTGCCTCTTACAGAGACCTGTCCGTGGCCTGTTAGGAACCCAGCCATACAGCAGGAGGTGAGGGCAGACAAGCAAGTGAAGCTTCATCTGCAAGAGAGCTGCTCCCCATGGCTCTCATTACTGCCTGAGCTCCTGTCAGATCACCAGAAGCATTAGATTCTCAGAGAAGCACACACCCTATTGTGAACTGCACATGCAAGGGATCTAGGTTATGTGCTCCTTATGAAAATCTAATGCCTGATGATCTGTCACTGTCTCCCATCACCCCCAGTTAGAAACATCTAGTTGCAGGAAAACAAGCTTAGCTTAGGGCTCCCACTGACTCGGCATTATGATGAGTTGAATAATTATTTTATTATATATTACAATGTAATAGTAATAGAAATAAAGTGCACAATATATGTCATGGGCTTGAATCTTCCCAAAATGATCCCCCTACCCCAATCTATAGAAAAATTGGCTTCCAAAAAACCAAAGAGGTTGGGGACTGCTGTCTTAAATTATTCAATTCAGTGTTACATATTATGGTCACAGAATTCTGCTATGATCATTCTCATATATTTTATTTTACTTTATGTCTAAATGCCCCATATAGCTCAAAACCAGCATCAAACTTTAGAACATTTTATTTCTCATAAAGGAAACCCTGTACCATTAGCAATCATTCCCCAATCCCTCCAGACTCCCCCAGCCCTAGGCAAGCATTAATCTACATTTTGTTTTACATATTCATATACACTGAACATGTTCATATAAATGGAGTCACGTAATAGGTAGTTTTGTGACTAGCTTCTTTCATTCAGTATGTTTTCAATGTTCTTTCACCTTGCAGCATTGATGTGCACTTCATTTGTTACTGCTGAATGACATTTCATAGTATAGATATAAGTCATATATATCCATTCTCACTTGATGTACATTTGGGTTGTCTGTGCTTTTTAACCATTATAAATAATGCTTCAGGCCAGGCATGGTGGCTCATACCTCTAATCTCAGTGCTTTGGGAGGCTGAAGTGGGAGGATTACTTGAAGCCAGGAGTCCTAGATTAGCCTGGGCAACATAGTGAGATCCCATCTCTAAAAAACAAAGGTTTTCTCTTTTTTAAAATGTTTTAATTAGTTGGGCATGTGCTGTGCTCCTGTACTATTAGCTACTCAGGATGCTGAGGTAGGAGAATTCCATAGAATTTCCTGAGCTAAGGAGTTGAAGGTTACAAAAAGCTGAGATGGCACCACTGCACTCTAGTCTGGGCAACAAAGTGAGATCCTGTCTCTGTAAAAATAAATAAAAATAAAAATAATGCTGCTGTGAACAGTCCTGTGCAAGGTTAGATCTAGATGTGTATTGTCATATCTCTTGGATATGTACTTATGTGTGAATCTAATTTCTCTTGTGATTTCTTCTTTGAGCAATTCATTTTTTTCAGTGTATTGTTAATTTTTAAATTGCCTTATATTGTTTTCTAGTTTAATTTGATTATATTTGGAGAGTATACCTTGTGTGATGTCAGCACAGTTAAACTTACTGGGCTCATTTTATAGCCTGAAGAATGTTTTACCTTGAAAAATGTTCTATGCACACTTGAGAAGAATTTGTATTTTGCTGCCATTGGGTGAAGTATTGTATAGACGTCTATTAGTTGTAGTTGTTTTATAGCAATTGAGTCTTCTATATGCTTATTGATATTCTCCCTAATTGTTTTATCCAATTATCAAAAGTGGGATATTGAAGTCTCCAATTACGATAATCAATGTGTCTATCTCTAATTCCATTGGTTTATGATTCATGTATCTTGGAGTTTTATTGTTGGGTGCATATATGTTTGTAATTGTTTTGTATTAATGATGGACTGTACATTTTATTATTATTAAATACCCCGCTTTAACTCTAGAAACATTCTCAGATTTGTTGCTTTAAAGTCTATTATATCTACTATAAGCATAATCACTCCAAGTCTCTTATGACTGTATAGTAATCTTTTTTCATTCTTTAACTTTCAGCATATTTGTTTATCTGAGTCTAAAGTGCGTCACTTGTAGAGCAAGCACTATTTGTTAAAATAATAAAGTTATAGTCTAGAGAATACTTCCCTTACATGACAAATGATATCTACTTCAGATAAGTAGCCAAAATCATGTTTCTTCAATAAAAATCTTGCAAGCATCTCTTCTAAACACAAAACCAAGAAAATAAACAGACACAAATATTACCAGTTTAAAATGCTGCTCATCATCTGCTGATATGGTAAGGTATGTGTTTCTTAAAGGAGAGAAACAAAAATTTTAATTAGAAGAAAAAAAGTCCTCCCCATTTCTAGTACTCCTGATTACTTTCCTAATATGTCTTTCTCAATGATTTTTATATCCATCTTAGATGATATTTGCTTTCTTGTTTTAACTTCTTATTTGCCAGTTCTAGTATTCTCCCTCTGAAACGTTGACTTCAAAAGGGCAAGTACTTTTTTTCTGTTTTGTTACTCGAGTTGCCCCCAGTGCTATAAACAGGGTCGATAAGTAACCATAGCTCAATACACAAGTGAAAATAGATGGATAATTTGAAGATGAAATAAATTCTACTTCAAAAATGATGAGGAAAATCAACTACAATTCTATTAGAATTATTACCAGAGTTCAGTAAGATGGCTGGGTTAAAACGACTATCAAAACTCATGGATTTCCTGAATGTCAAAATTAACTTTTAGAAAATGTAATTGAAAAAACCCTCATTATCAGCGGCAAAACATATATGGAACATGTCTAAGAATGACCCTAAATGTAGATATGAAAGTACAATATGAAGAAAACTTCAAATTGATATTAACAGACATCTAAATACTCAATACATAAATATATTCTCCTCATGAATGGGAAGAATTCATACTGTAATTCTCCCTAAATTAATCTAGGTATTTACCACGATCAAACTTAAAATGCTAAGGGGCATTTTTAGAAACTTGAGTAAGTCTTGAAGTCTACCTTCGATAATAAATCAATAAAAATATTTAAGAAAATTAATGGTTGGAGGATGGGAAATGGTAAGCATTCCATGTTTTGATATTATACAACGTAAGGATAATTAAATGGATGTCACCATGTGAAACTGGTGCAGCATTAAGCAGACAGATTTAAAAAAATGAGCTAGACTATCCTATAGCAACCCCAC